>NC_000018.10:74838883-75140239 GCF_000001405.40 Homo sapiens | reverse complement strand
GACAGAGTGAGGCACAGGGACAGAGAGATACAGAAATACAGACAGAGAGTCAGAGACAGAGACAGGCAGAGACAGAGAGATACAGAAATACAGAGAGAGAATCAGAGACAGAGAGAGGCACAGAGACAGAGATACAGAAATAGAGATAGACAGAGACAGCGAGATACAGAAATAGAGAGAGACAGATACAGAGACAGAGAGACAGAGAGAGGTACTGAGACAGAGAGATACAGAAATAGAAAAAGAGACAGAGTTAGAGACAGACAGAGAGAAAGACACATAGACAGAGAGAGACAGAGGCATCAAAGAGAAAAGACAGAAGGGAAACCATGTATGCAGACGCAGAAGAAAGTGAGAGACAGAGAGGGGGACAAGGAGCGAGGAATCCAGAAGCTCTGGACTAGGAGGGAGTGAAGGCCTGAGGAAGGTGCGTCCATGCTGCATTGAGAGCACTGAGTGTGGAGCACAGCGTGGGAGGAGGGCCCGGGGAAGGTGGGGGTGACCGCCTGGGGTGCGTCCTGCATGGCTAGGAACCAACTGTGCAAATGTGGGGCAAGTTTCTCAGCTCCTACAGTCCCACTTTCCTATCTAGTAACAGAGTTAGGTCCAATTATTTCTGGGTCTCTCAACATTCCAGATGGGCTGGTTCTAGCTGCTCTCAGAGTTTTCCCGCTGTGTTGGTGTGACCGACCCAGGACAGACATCGCTGCTCTTCCACTCCTGGCCCCTCCAGTGTGTGCTGATGGCTGAGGAAGGGACTCTGGAGATGCCAGCTCCCCAGCCATCAAGCCCAGGAGGCCCCATTCCATGAAGCCCCCAGGGCCGGCAGCAAAGCCCGGGGCTGGCAAGGGGAGCAGGTGTGTTTGCAGACTGGGTGGAGGCCGGCTTCCTACGGGGCTCCTCTCCTCTCCCTCCACTCTCTCTCGTCTTGAAAGACCATCCCACAATCCAACTGCAGGACACACTCGCGCTCAGGAGCTCAACTGAGTTGCTACAAACGTGAAAAACTGGAAACAACCTGAACACCTACCCACAGAGGACGGCTGAGTAAATGATGTGCATCCACATGTGTTACATTTTGGAGTCATTAAAAAACACGTTTATGAAATGTTAATGGCCTGGAAAAATGCTCATCACAAAACGTTAGGGCAAAAAACAGTTTCTACTTTCTGGTTTTCAAACTAGGAATATAAGTTAACCATTCAGAATTAAATTTGAAAAGCAATAAAAAATAAAAATGTGAGGTTGTTTTATAACAATCGTACATGTATGTCTGCATATGTAGACCTGTGTGTGTGTGTGTGTGTGTGTGTGTGTGTGCATGTGAATGAAAGGAAATATACCAAAATGCTAACAGATGTTATTTCCAGGAGGGAGAATTTTGGATAATCGTTATTTTATTTATATTTTTCTGTATTTACACATTTTTATAGTAAGCATGGATTAATTTTTTATTCTGAAAATAGAAAAAAAATACATGAACAAAAACATGGTGATTTGCGCCGCTTCAGATGGGACCATGAGTCCATGCCTTGAGCTCTGTGTTGGGTGCTGATATCTTTGGCTTAAGGCAGCTTCTCGTTGGGTGAGCACAGACATTCTGAGATGCCGGCTTCTGGGTGTTCTGATACCTGGAGATGCCTCTGAGCCAACTGGGGCTCATGCAAATTGTTCCATCTGCCCAAAGTGGCACTGGCATGCCCCGTACCACCACCAGGAGCAGGGCCTCATGGGAGGCATTTAGGTCATGAGGGCTCCACCTTTATGAATGGATTCATGACATTATGAAAGGGCTGGAGGGAGTTTGGTCCTCTTTGTCCTTTCACCCTCCAGAGATGAATGGATTCATGACATTATGAAAGGGCTGGAGTGAGTTTGGTCCTCCTTGCCCTTTCACCCTCCAGAGAAGGCAGCGTTCCAGGTACCATCTTGGAAGCAGAGAGCAGTTCTCACCAGACACTGAACTGCAGCCCTCTGGCCTTGGACTTCCCTGCCTCCAGAATGGTGAGAAATAAGTTTATGTTCTTTATATTAGTTTTTCTTTTTTTACTTTTTTTTTTTTTTGAGATGGAGTCTCACTCTGTTTCCCAGGCTGGAGTGCAGTGGTGCAATCTTGGCTTAGTGTGACCTTCGCCTCCTGGGCTGAAGTGATTCTCCTGTCTCAGCCTCCTGAGTAGCTGGGACTACAGGCCCACGCCACCACACCTGGCTAATTTTTGTATTTGTAGTAGAGATGGGGTTTCACCATGTTGGCCAGGCTGTTCTCAAACTCCTGATCTCAAGTCATCCACCTGCCTCGGCCTCCCAAAGTGCTGGGATTACAGGCGTGAGCCACCACGCCCAGCCAGTCTCTGTTCTTTATAAATTACGAAGTCTGTGATTCTCTGTTGTAGAATTGACTCAGACAGTCAAAGGCATTTGTTTTACAATTCATGTGTCTGCATTCTTTCCCAGGTTCTGAGGCTGAGGATGAAGATGAGGGCCCTGCCCAGAGCTGGGAGAGGTGGAGCTGCACGAAGATGCCACATGGTGAAGCAAAACCTTAACATCCCATCGCCTCATCTTTCAGGGGCTTCTGTTCCGGGAAGTGGCTCCCAAGAAATTACTGGTGGATTGTTGGTGCTCTGAGGGTGAAGAGGTGAAGGAGGAAGATAAAAAGGAGCAGCCGCAGCTTTCCGGTGTAGCCCCCTCTGCTCTGCCCCGTTGCCCAGACACCCGGCGTTGGGCATCAATGGAGCACAAGTACTGTTCTCTAGGCACATCCGTTCTGGGACCATTCTCACATCCTGAGGATAAATTTCTACAACACTCATGCTGTGCTCTCCCTGAAAATTTTGCCTCTGTTTTGAGCCATTATAATGATTCAAGTAGAGACTTCAGAGAAATACCGCCTCTCATGAAAAAGTCTCAGTAAATACACTCCTCAAAATTTTCATTCTTAATATATCAGTAGCTTTTCAGTTCATTATAGTGTTATTAGTCAGTCTTCATAAAAGTGCTATGCATCTTTATTAAAAATGGAAGTTCACATCATTTTATGTTCCCATAAAAATGGGTGGTGGTAGCTTTGATTAATTTCTTCACATACAGTGAACTTTACAGCAAATTGGACAGTGTAATTCAATTCCTATTTCTGCAGATTTTTTTGTTGGTAGAAAATTGATATCATTCATATGTAATCATATTGCCTTTGCAAGAGATATTTAAGAAATAATATCCTGAGGTAATGATCGCATGGCTTAATTATTAATACCGTACTTTCACATGTGGAGCGCACATTCCTTTTATCAAGCTTGACTTCTATCAGAAAATATTTCTTCAGTCCAGATTCAGCTGCGTGTGCCACCGACGTGCACATGAGTGTGTGTGTGTTGGCGCTTTAAAACTGTTTCTTTTCTTCACGGCTTGAGCATCGTTTCTAGGGTAATCATTGGTATGAAGAGGTCTACCAACTTAACTATAAAGTCCAAGCCAGAGGGAAACCTGAAAAATAAGGACCAAAATTCAGACGGTCCCCCACCCACCACCCACTCCCCAGATGCCAAGCAAATCTACTGGGTCTCTTTCAAATGAAACAATTGCAGACCAGAAAAAGTTTATCAGGGTTTGGATGCTGTATTAGGGCTCTCCAGAGAAGCAAACCGTGTGTGTGTGTGTGTGTGTGTGTGTGTGTGTGTACAGAGAGAGAGAGAGAGAGAGGTTTTTTTTTTAATTATTTTTTTTGAGACAGAGTCTTCCTCTGTTGTCCGGGCTGGAGTGCAATGGTGCATCCTCAGCTCATTGTAACCTCTGCCTCCCAGGTTCAAGCTATTCTCCTGCCTCAGCCTCCTGAGTAGCTGGGATTACAGGTGCGCACCACCATGCCCAGCTAATTTTTGTATTTTTAGTAGAGACAGGTTTCACCATATTGGCCAGGCTGGTCTTGAACTCCTGGCCTCAAGTGATCCACCCACCTCGGCCTCCCAAAGTGCTGGAATTACAGGCATGAGCCACCGCATCCAGCCGAGAGAGTTTAAGGAATTGGCTCACATGACTGATGGGGCTGGCAGGTCTGAAATCTGCAGGACAGGTGAGAGCCGGGGAAGTGCTGATGTCATCGTCTAGAGTCCAAAAGCTCTCTAACTACCTAGAGCAGAATTGCTACAGTGGGTCATGCCTACAATCCCAGCACCTTGGGAGGCTGAAGCAGGAGGATTGCTTGAGGCCAGGAGCTCAAGACTAGCCTGGGCAAGAGAGCAAGACCCTCTCTCTAAAACCTAATGTTAAATGACGAGTTAATGGGTGCAGCACACCAACATGGCACATGTATACATATGTAACTAACCTGCACGTTGTGCACCTGTACCCTAAAACTTAAAGTATAATAATTTAAAAAAAAGGAAAAAAAAAAGAATTCCTTCTCCAGAAACCTTTGCCTTTGCTTGGAAGACCTTCATCTCATGGGTTGGGGCTCACACACATGACAGATGGTCATCTGCTTTACTCGAAGTCCACTGATTAGACGTTCATCACATGGAAAAACACCTACACAACAACATCTGTACTGGGGTTTGGCCATCAGCGCCATGGCCGAGCCGAGTTGACAGGTGAAGTCAACCCTCTCAGGTGTTCTGTGAGTGCTGACTGGGCCATCCTTGTCACGTGCCTGTCTTCTCCAGGAGGGAGGCCCCATGAGTGCTCCCTGACAGCTCCATCCTGTCTACCTGGCACAGGCTTGTCCTTTCAGGAATACGGGGTCCTCGGCACTCCTCTCAGGCCGCTCTCCACCCTGACTCCTGAGGGGTTCCAGCTGCTTCTGCTCCTGAGATGCCTTTCCAGGTTCGCCATCCGTCCTTCCCTGAGGACGTCCCTGCCTTGTGGCTGTGCACATCCCGCTGGGTTGGTGCAATTCGGGCCTGCTGGTATGCACTTGGCAGTGAATAGGAACCCTGGTTCTGGCAGACACATGCATCCAGAGCCTACCTGGGGCTCATCTCGAGCCTGCGATGAGAGAAGGAACTGGGCCTTCTCCTGGGAAGCAGCCTCTGTGGCACAGTACTGGTCCCTCTGAGTGTGTCTGGTGGTCCTGGGCCACTCTGTGGCTGCTGTGGGGGCCAGGAGCCTCGCAGGGCTTGGCACCTACGAGCTGGATTCCAACCGAAAGGCAGCTGGGCTGTGGACACATCCATGTGACTGCCGCTCACAGAGTCAAGAATGCATTGCGGTACTTGGAAAATTCATGAATAAAAGACAGCTTTGGGGAAAAGATAGATTGATGAACTACACCGCTGGGAAGCCCACCTTCTGACCCCTCTTCTTCCGACAGTGTTATGGGATTTGAGGCTCCTATGCCAGGTTGTGGCTGAACGCCCGGCTCAGGAAGAAAGGGAATGAAACGTTGCCTGAGGAAAAGGGGATGGAGCCCAACACGCGGGTCCTTGTTCCATCGCGCACTCTTCACTGAGGAAGAAAACTGATATGTGCAAGGGCCAAGACAATGGTGTGTGGCACACTCACCTGTGTGTGCACGTGTGCTCATACACACATGCATGGACACACCCACAGACACAAAGACACACGTGAACACAGACACACAGAGACAGACACACATGAACACACAAAGACATACATGGATACACACAGACACACAGAGACATATGGACACACACAGAGGCACCCATACACATGGACACACCTGCAGACGCACACATGGATACACACATGAACACACACAGGAACATACAGACATATACCCACAGAGACACGCCCATGGGCACCCACACACACCCACACACAATTCACACTCACACACAATACACATCTACATACCAACTCACACAATACACACACACACAGACATACACAGGTACAGCCACCTACCACCTACACACATTTTCAGTCACACGCTCACACACTGATTCACATGCACACGCCGCACGCTGTTTGCTGGGTGCACAGTGGGTGCCCACCTCCCGCAGCTTTCTCCGCAGGAGGCCCTGGGCAGCATCCTCTGGCTGTCGGAAGAGCACCCCGTGCAGAGCCCCTGCCTGGGGAGATACAGCCCTGCAGGGCGCTGTGTGCCCTGATGCGGTGCCAGGAAGTGCCCTTCCTCTGGGTCTTGGGAGAGCTCCCCAGGCGGCAGTGCGCTCCCTGCCCTGCTCCCAGCACACATGCTGCTCCCTTCACGGGTGAGACGACTGTTCCAGAGCACGTGTGGAGTCCAAGCCAAGTGAAGCCCCTCTGTGCTGGCACTGTCTGGCCTCTGACCCCGGCTGGCACAGGTAAGGGCAGTAACCCCATACCTGTGCCCCCCCAGCGTGCCCCTGACCCTGGGAGCAGAGCCGGTAGTGGCCAGATGATGGCTTCGGTGTGGTGATGGCCGTGGTTTCCACCTGGAGCCTTCACAGGATGGCTGGCATCCCTCCCGCACAGCCCCGGCCCTGGCCCCCGGGATGCCACCTTCCCCCGGGGCCCCTGTGCTGGCTGCATCCTGGATGATGCTGAGCTCCCACGCTCTGCAGAGGCCCGAGAGAACCACCCGCCCCAGACATTCTCCTTTAATTAAAGCAACACACCAAATAAAGGTTCTGTTGAGCAGCGACCCCCCTTCCCGTCTTGGAGCTCCTGCCATGCAGTCTTCTGACAGTATTTAGGTCTATGGTTGGAGCCCCAAATGGAGAGAAAGAAAGATGACCCGCTTTTCTTAAATCACAATCTAAACTTGTTTGCAAGGAGCTGAGCTACAGGCAGTGTAACCTGGGGCTTCTCAAGACAGGTGCTTTGTCCTTGAGCTTCTAGACAATTGAGCAAGAGCTTTCTGGAACTTCCCCAAGGAGAGGGAACCAGGCAAAGGAAGAAGTATTTGAAATCAACAGGTAAGGCCACAGTGTGTGGGCTCTGCGCCAGAGGGGAGGATGTTTCCGGCTGTGAGAGCTCAGCCGCGTGCAGACAAGGAGCAGAGAGGACTTGGGCATGACAATGCCATCTCTCCAGCTCATCGGGGAGAAGTCCAGAAGGAGATGGGCTTCTGGGACTAAAGGGGCATGAAAGGCACGTTGCAGGAAAGAGGCGCACCTGTGGGACCTAACAGTCCCAGAGAGTGCCCATCCCACGGGGACCCACAGGGCTGTGGTGTCCTTCAGTGGGCGTCAGCCTCCTGCAGACTCCATGGATGGGCACTGCCATGCCCACTCACAGGTGAAGACGCTGACCCTCAGAGAGACTGAGTGACCTCACATGTGGGACCGAGGATCAGTGACCATGCTGGGATCTACCACTGAGCCGCGGGGATCTTTTGGGGAAAATGAACTCTTCTAGGGACAATAAAACATGAACAAAATTGCATGTCTCCGTATAGTTTGGATGGATCAAAAGATGTGTGGAATATGAGCATGTGTACTTGCTCTCTGTTTGAAACACACGACCACCCCTTCCACGACATCAGCATGAAGAAAGAGTGACCAGCCGCGGTCCCCAGGGCCAGCCCGGGAGAGGTACCTTTGGGACCATTTCCCTCTGGGGAACCGGTGTGAGGCAATACCGCCTGGTGAAAAGGATAAAGGGGCCTCACCTCAGGGCACAGCACCCAAGAAAGTCCCCTCACGTCCTCCGCAGCTCTGCTCTCAAGAAGAGAAAAGAAAACTCCAGGAATTGCCGGCGTCGAGTGGGTTCAGCTGTTCCGCGCTCCAGCTGGGACTGGCTACAAACCTCACCAAATGCGAGGGGACTGGCTTCCACCTTGGGCTCTGTGTGTATCATTTCCACCCGAAACAGAATTGACTTCATCGCAGCAGCAAAACAAAGACAGCTCTGAGTTATACTGTAATTCACAGCGGGAGATTTATGAATATTATTTTCCTGTAAAATCTAGCATTTTTCTCGTTGCTACTTGCAACCTGTAAGTGGTATAAAGCTGTGCACCTAGCAGGACGCCGCACTGCCTGTGCGCGGGGTGCCCACGTGGGTACACAGCCCCCATAAATGGTGCCTTTGTGTTTAACTTGTCTAATCAGCTCGCCATATCAAAACTTCATAAGTGGTTGCTTCTCATTTAAAGGTCTAGTAAAACTGCAATTACTATGGCTGTAAGACGCCTTGTTCTGAAAAGTGCATTAAATAGTTTTATAGATGTGGTTGGAAACACTTGTGCAGTTGTGTTTGCGAAAGCGACTGAGTTCATTAATAATGGGACCCTGAGACAGAAAAATAAGTCGGGAGCTGTGAAAACTACTTGGGCCTTTGAAGCTCGTTCTTGGATGTAATTTTTGATGTCGGGACAACTGTTTCTACTTCATTAAAAGAAACTGAGGTGTAACCTTAGTCAGCTTAACAGACCAGTGGCATTTTGGCTGTAGCCTTTGGAGCAAAAGTCTGGATGAGAAAGAAAAGCCAGGTTTCCTCTGAAAATAAAAAACGGAGAGCCTGCCTCCCGGCGAGGTGTTTGCAGCCAGCGGGATCAGCAGCTCAAGCTCAGGAGCCTGGCGACTGCAGGCTCCCCCCAGACCCATGGACGAACAAGGTCACCAGCCGGGACGCTCTGGGGTGGCGTGGTCTCCAGGCTCTTCCTGTACGACTTTGGAAAACAGGTGAAGTCCCAACAAGGACGCAGCCTCGTCTCCCACCCCCCGTGTTTGAGCTCCGGGATGCTGGTCCAACTTCACACATGCAGGCTGGAGACCCAGGGTTTCTTTGAATACGGATGAAGAGGATCCCGGAGCCCAGAGCTCCCTCTTTCCATCCGCATAGATGCTGCCGGCCACAGAGGCATATTTCCAAAGTGCATTTTTTGAACATTGAAATCTCAGATTTGCTGTAAATTCAGGCCGGGGAGGATCTAGCAGATGGGCAATGTGTAAGTTACAAACCTAAGGGAAGCTTTTGCATTAAAAAAAAAAAGAAAAAGAAAAAGAAAAAAGAAAAAAAACACTCTTAAACTGCAGCTCTTAAAGGAAGATTTTCTGTTTTCCATAGTGACTCACTAAACCTTTATTTAGACAGTTGGTAAAAACACCACATCACATATTTCACATTTTTTTTTTCCAGTGCTGCAGTTTAAAACAGCATCATGTTTTTTCTTCTAGAGGGAAGTAGAAATCTACAGTAAGGCATTTTTGCCTTTTTTAAAAATGAAACCGAAATGTATTTTGGAATGGTTAATATTCCCAGTCAGACCCACAGCACAGCCCCCTCTGGTGCACATATTAAGGAGAAGGATTAGGACTGTCATGGGGTTTTGTTCATTTGCTGTTCATCAGTTCCCAGAGATAAATTTCAATGCTCATTCAAAAGTACAACAAAAACATAATGATTTGAAATCCATCATCTCACTGTCCCAGCAGTTTTTCTTGCTGTCGTTCTCGCCAGGTTTCAGGTTAGCTGGATAATGGCAGAGGAAAGCTGGATTCCCGCGACGCTGCAAAGTGAATCCACCGCGGCCCAGTGCACGAGGCCAGCACGGGAACTGTCCTTCCGAAGCAGGGTACTCCCAGGACCCAGAAAAGGAGATCAGAGGAGGCCAGGCCAGAAGCTCTGAGCAATGAGATGTGTGCAGGGAGCTGCACCTGGGTTCCCCGAGTCCCGGGATCCCTCTGCCATCAGAGCATCACACCAATTACAAGGAAGTCCTCATGCACATATGTGGAGGGCACACACACACAGGCACATATACACACCCTTATATACACATATGTACACATGCATACACAAACACATATACAAATACACATGCACACACACGCAGACACATACACACGGACACCACTTACAAGCATGCACAAACACACAGGCACATATACAAAAATTCATATACACGTGTACATACATACACAAAAGCATGTACAAATGCACATGCACACACACGGATACATACACATGATACATACACAAGCACACCACTTATAAGCACACACAAACACACAAGCACATATACACACACTCACATACACAAATGTATACACGCATCCACAAACGTACAAATACACATGCACATATACACACATGGACATACACACGGAAATATACACACACACAGACACATACACACAAGCACACTCACACAAATGGGCACACATGCACACAAGCACACCACTTACAAGTACAAACACACAGACACATATACACACTCATATACACACATGTACACACGCATCCACAAACATGTACAAATACATATCCCATATATACACATGGATACATACACACATGGATCCATACACACACACACACACAAGCACACTCACACATGGACACATGCACACATACAAGCATGCACACGGACACACATGCACACACACATGGACACACATGCACTCACAAGCACACACACGGACATACATGCACACACACAAGCACACACATGTGGAGACACATGCACACGTACCCGGCCTGCTCCTCTGCATGCGGCACCAGGTGAAGAACCAAACAGCCTCCCAGGCCCTCTCGGGCTTCCCCGCCTCAGCATGCAGGGCAGTCCACGCCGTGGCTTTGAGGAAGGATCCCCAGGCATCTCCTCATGCACTCGCATGGCCCACCTGAGACGCAGGCGTGCAGAGAGGACCCTTCTCCTCCTGCTGAGCGCGCTGCTCACTGCTGAGAAGCTGGGTTCAGTGTGTGGGACTAAAGGTCCAGTGTGGGACCCTCCCTCCTGCCCACCTAGCTCCTCCTGACTCTCTACTCCTCAACCCACACCAAAGTCCCAGAGAAGCTGGTGTAAGGCGGGTGGGCGGGAGTGGGAGGGGACGGTGCAGAGGTACTGACGAGGCCCACGGGAGGCCCCTCGAGTCCTCTGTCCCCTCAGCCTTTCACAGCCTTTGTCCTGCTGGGAAAACGGCTGTGCCCAGCACACAGGACAGACCCCACTCACTGCTAGGGGAAGGGCACAGAAGGCCATTGTGCTCAGGTGGCCACAGGCCCGTCGGGGGCACACAGGCTTTTGGGCGCTCTTTCCCATCCCTCTCTTTCTGTTCATTCCTGTAAAAATCAGTGACTGTCAATGCTGCAGATTGTCCTAGCAATAGCTGCGCTTCCCCTCCATGCAGGGATGTGACATGGACTCCGTGGGGTCCCCCCATCCTTCTTTCCCTCCCCCACCCAGGACACTTTGTGCCCAGCCCCTTCCTCAGCACTCACCACACACGCCCAGTGCCAGAGCTGGAACTGCTGAGAAAGAAAGGCTCACCTCCCACGGCAACACACCTCCACCATGGAATGTGTCTGCAGGGGGAAGGGCCTTGGAGACAATTCCTATCCTGAAGGAAAATGTTCCCGGGCCTTGGAGAATGGAAATCCTTGGTGGTTCTTGCACAACAGACCCTTTCATCTTATTTTAGTAAATATTTGCTTGTTATTAGAATCTATCAGAGCTAACTTTCGTGTCTTGATGGGAAAAGGATTGAGGTTACACCTCCATGAAATGGAGGTGGCCATTAAAGGACTTTCAATGATTGACCATCAATGATACACAATGATTGGCCAGAAATGTGTACACAATGATTGGCCAGAAAGCTGGATTTTTGTGTAAATACCGTAGTCCCGTCAAATGGGAAAGCATATCCCTTTTTCTCATTCTAGTATTTTCTCTGGGGTTATGAAAACCACAGCATAACCACAATATCAGTGATGGCACTGCCTGGCTTCATGGCACCCTGCCGTGCTGCATGAAGACAGGCTGTGCCTTCTGGTTGTCTTTAGGTGGGGTGCAAAGGGGCTACAAGAGGCTGTGGAAATACGCAGCGCTCACACTTCCTTCTGGGATGCTGACATTTTACATCTGGGAGCCTGCACACCCTCCACCTTAGCATTTCCATCTAACCAAAAGGCACATTTCCGAGGAGGAGAGCTGGCCAGCCCTCCTGTCTTGCACTCACATCCCTGGATGGCGGTGCTGAGCAGGTGTTCTGCACCCAGGCCCTGCTATGGTTGGTTTCCTTGAAGATCACCAGGTGGGCTGCAGTTCCTAAATGACACTTTCAGATGGACGCAGGCCGTGATCTCACATTTACCAGCATGATAATGACATCAGGTGCTAGCCCTGTGGGTAAGATGACTCCAGGGAAGGGTCTAGAAGTTTATTTTTCCGTCTAACCTGGGTTCAGGGGGTTGGTGGTCTGGGATTCTGTTGCACTGTGGCCTGTGGTGCAGCTGGAATGGCAGGTGTCTTCACAGGCAGCAAGTCTGTCCCCTCCCTGGTGTTAATAGACCTGAGATGTTTTACTTCCACGGTGTCAAAAGCTTTTGGTTGTACAAGGCTGTGGCATGCACTGAAGTCCTAACATTTTCCATCCAGGAAATGAGTGTCATGCTCACTGTGGAATGCACAGGCCAGAGGGTGGGGAAGACATGCCACAGGGAATGGGCCTCTCCCCTTACAAAGGTCGCCGGCTGCCCGCTTTGTACAGGCACAGAGGCCCTGTCAGTCACGGCCACCTGTCCCTGGTGTGGGGCTCTGTGCATGACAGCCTGGCCAGGCAAGGGAGCACCCAACCCAGCAGGGAGGCCCGAGGGAAGCCCAAGGGAGGCCCCAGGGAGGCTGGGGCTCCTGGTGGGGCCTGGGGCTGGCGAGGGGCTGGCGAGAGGCTGGTGCCAGGAGGTGGCCTCCCCGAGGTGATCATATCTTCCCTAGGTTGGTGGCTGTGGACGGCCTCAGCACAGAGGGACACGGGTCAGCCAGCTCCTGCTGCCAATGTCCTGTGCAGCCCCTGCCCCTGGCTCCATCCTGAACCCACGGGCTGAGCCAAAGCAGCCAAACAAGGGAGCTGGCGATGCGGGACTGCAGGGCGGTGAGGGGCCCAGGTGGGGTCAAGCGTCCACTGCCACCTGTGAGCCCGGAGCTGGCTATCTCCTGGGGTCAGAAACACAGACTCCGCACCTCCCTCCTGGCACAGGTCTCGGCCTCCCTCCAGGCCACACCCTTGCCCACCTGCAAGGACTGGAGAGGTGCTCCATGAGCCGGGTGCCAGTGCACACTCACACTCATGCAAAGGCACACTCACACACTCAAGCAAATGCACACTCACACTCGCACACTCATGCAAATGCTCGCTTACACTTACACAGTCACGCATGCAATTCAGGCTCATATAAAGTCCACACCCGCAAACACAAAACACACTCGAGATTCACAGACACAGGATCCACACCCAAAAATACACAGAATTCACACACAGGGTCCACACCCACAAACACAAAACACACTCGAGATTCACAGACACACAGGATCCACACCCAAAAATACACAGAATTCGCACACAGGGTCCATACCCACAAACACAAAACACACTCGAGATTCACAGACACAGGATCCACACCCCAAAATACACAGAATTCATACACAGGGTCCACACCCCAAAATAACAGAATTCATACACAGGGTCCACACCCCAGAATACACAGAATCCACACACAGGGTCCACACCCCAAAATACACAGAATTCACACACAGGGTCCACACCCACAAACACAAAACACACTCAAGGTTCACAGACACACAGGATCCACACCCAAAAATACACAGAATTCACACACAGGGTCCACACCCCAAAATACACAGAATCCACACACAGGGTCCACACCCACAAACACAAAACACACTCGAGATTCACAGACACAGGATCCACACCCCAAAATACACAGAATTCATACACAGGGTCCACACCCCTAAATAACAGAATTCATACACAGGGTCCACACCCCAGAATACACAGAATCCACACACAGGGTCCACACCCCAAAATACACAGAATTCACACACAGGGTCCACACCCACCAACAGAAAACACACTCACGATTCACAAACACACAGGATCCACACTCACCAGGGTTTACACCCACAAACACACAGGATTCACACTCTCACAGGGTCCACACCCACAAACACAAAACACAGGATGCTCACACAGGATCCACACACACACGATTCATGCATTGGATCCACACACTCGATCCACACTCACAAACACGCTCATGAGTCACACATCACATTCACTCACAGAACCAAACATGCTTCACACCCAGTTCACACTCACACCTGCTTCACGCTCACACAGCCACACAGCCTACACAGGCAAGCACACTCACACATCCAGGTCACCTGGTAACTGAGACTCTGCCAGCCGTGAGCCCCACGGTGAGTCAGCACTGGGAACCCTACCCTTCCCACCCAGGCCGGCGTCCTTCCTGGGGCTGACGTGAGTGGTCCCTGAGCTAGTTTCATCGCTGTGACTGGGGAGGGGGCTCATTTCTCTCCACAGGGGCGCAGCAGCGGAAGGACAGAGCAGCCCCTCGGGTTTCACCCTTGACCATCTCAGTAAGAAAACCCAGAGACGGCCTGCAGAGGGAGGAGGAACAGGGTGCTGTACTGAGATGGAAGGAGAGGGCGCCCGAGCTCTGCTCCCGGGCTTGCGCCTGGCCTGGAGTGGACTTGGCCCCTCACTTCTCCGGCTCCGGGAGGGCCCTGCTAATGGCCCAGGACTCTCTGGTGCAGCAGCATTCTGTGCAGGTGGGGCTGGGCCAGACCAAGCGGCTGCCGGATGGGCGCCTGGCTGCACTGCTGACGGCCGAGAGGTGCTGCCTGCCTGGGGGAGGACGCTGGCCGGGAGCCCCTGCCCGGCCGCCCTGGCATGCCTGGCGTTCTGCGGATGGGGTGGGGGCCAGGAGTCGGGCAGGCAGGTGTCGGGAGCAGAGGCTCCCGCAGCCGGCCGCGCGGAGCCTGGCCCAGCAGGGACGTTGGTCCAGCGTGGCCCTCCCAGGCCAGCCCAGGGATTTACGCTCCGCCCTGGCTCTGCAAGCCCTTTGTGAGTCTCTGGTGGCCAGCTCAGAATGACCAAAGCAGGGCGGGCTTTCTATGGTCATTTCTTTACCGCACATGACATAAACCACCCGAGAGCCCCAGTGAACGGCAGGTAAGAAATAAACGGGCTGAGCTGGGAACTGCCAGCCTGCAGTGGGGCTGCCCAAGACCCGCCTCTTAGGGCATATATTAGCACGGCATCTGTTCCCAGATGGCCCTTCTTAATCACGGCGACTCGAATGCGAGGATCCGGGAATGCAGCCGAGGGAGGAGGGCCTGCGAGCTGCAGGTCCTGCCCAGGACCAGGTGCCTTCAGCCTGGCGGTGCTCCCAGCCTCCCTGTCCTCCCCTCCCTCCCGCTCTCCAAATGCTCTGAGTGCAGAGGGGAAAGCTGGGCATGGCACAGACCCCTCCCACGCGTGTGGCTGTGCACGGTCCCCACCACTCCCATCTTTAAAATGAGGCAGATGCCAGCACCTTACAGGCTTGCTGGCATAAGGCTTAGAAAAAAACGAATGCAAACTTGTGAAATAGCAGCACCACCGCTCTTGATCTTCTCTCCAACTTCTTTGGGAGAGCCAAGGCCCATGAGGGCCACGTGCATCCCGTAATCGCTTCTCTTCATTCTTAGTGTTTAAAAATCATGTTGCCATTTCCCTCAGTCGTCTCCGTGCACCCTTATCTCTGTCACAAAGCGTGGAGAAGGCCAAAGGGCCCCCTTGTGCACCGAGTGCAGGCACAGGCCCTGGAGTGATGGACAGAGCCCTCCAGTGATTACCAGGGGGAATCCAGTGACCTTTCCGGAACCAGCTCCGGCCAGGTGGGCGTATCTGTGTCACGGAATGAGCCCCACCGTTCTTGTCTGACTCACTTCTGCCCATTTATTATTTCTGCCTCCTAACGACTGATCACTGGGAAAGAACAAATGCAAAGATGTTTTTAAAGCACTAATCCTAGTTCTCAATAGAGGGTAAACAGTCTTGCTTGTAGGATAGATTTTTGCAAAATTTTCCCTTTAATGACCCTCACTCATCCCTGTGGAACCTCCTCCTGCTCGTACAACAGACCTTCCCTTTTCTAGGTTGCTCATATTCCACTGCTTTTTCCAGGAGCTAGTGACCTCCCCATCCTTGTCAAGCTGCGAACCTAGAGCCAATGGAGTGTCTCCTCCCACACTCACCGCCCAGCTCACTGCCCATACCTTTGAGAGTTCTGGTTGATCTCAAGGTGTTCCCTATTGGAACACCATAGGTTCCCTGGATGGATCCTCGGCCAGCAACAATCCGCCCGAGAGTCTGACCCTCTATCTCCCTGGTGTAAAGGGACTGTCTTTTTTTATTGGATGCCACTGATAAGGACTGGAGGCAGGGAGAAGACAAAGAAAAGATCAAGAATTGGGAGACAATTTCATTTAGTTTTCTTTTTTCTTTCTAAGCTCATCTGATTTTAAAACTAAAAACAGGGAACAAATGAATTTGGTAAATAAAATTTGTTTCACCTCCATGTCATGGTCATTTATAATTTGGAGGAAAAGAGGAAGCAAGGAAAGAAGAGTTGGATGGAAGTTATGAATGTGTTGGAGAATAGTGGGAGGCAAAACTGGTGGAGGAAGAAAGGGAGAGGAAGAGAGAGACAGCTCCAGAGGGCAAAGGAGGAGGGAAAATAAAGAGGGACAGAATCGAAACCCTAAGATTGACAAGAAGCAAAAGATCCTTCATCAGGAAATAAAAGGATGCTTGGGATTTGTTTCAAAATAAACAATACGGTATGGGGAGGGGTGGATGGCCATGCGACAAGGCAGGCCCAGCCATGATGTTGTGGGGGCTGATAATCACCTGGCGGTCATGATACTCTTTATCTTCTTTTGTGCGGGTTTGAAAATTATCCGTTTAAAAAAGAAGAAAAATCTTCTCTTGTGAGGTTAGGAAGTCATCTGCAAAAGACCGCCCTGACTTCTGACATCAGCTACAGAGGTTAGGGATTTCCAGGCCGTCCCTCAGGTCTGATCATTGCTAGAAAGACTGGCGGAACTCACAGGAAGCCGTCAGAGCCACAGCGCTTCAGCTTACCATCAGCCAAGAGGAGACAGGTGTTGGACAGGGTCCCGAGAGACCAGGCGTGAGCTTCCCATTGTTCCGCGGGGTTGGGGACAGCAGGACTCCACTGGACGTGGGGTGTGACAACCCACATGGAAGCTCCCCCAAGCCTCAGTGCCTGGGGTTTTCATGGGGCTCAGTCACGTGGGGGTGGCCGCCTGTGCTGCCTGTGACTTTCAGACTCCAGCCCTATCCGCAGGTAGAGCAGATCCTGTGGGGCCCAGGGCCCCCACTGTAGGCTCCCAAATTCACAAAGACCCTCCTCCTGAAGATCATCTCCTGGGAGGCAGGGACAGAGCTAGACATTTTGGGTCAGGTTAATTCTTTACTATACAAGTATGGTGAATTTTAAACTATGCTCCAAAGAAATGCCTGTAGATCTTCAGCTGGAGCTGAGAGCAATGCCTCAGGGCCAGGTTCTCAGCCTTCTACATGACTACGATGGAAGCAGCATTTAAAAATCTATGTTTCAAAGCAAACTTCCAAATGTTGTGTGTTGAAATGTTATTTGTGCCCACCCCTAAATTCATATTTTGAAGTCCTAACCCCCAGTACTTCAGAATGTGACCTTATTTGGAGATAGGGTCATTGCAGACCTAATTCATGAAGATGAGGTCACCAGGGTGGTTCTTAATCCACTAGGACTGTATCCGTATTAAAAATTGGAAATTTGACAGGCAGGCACACAGGGACATGCAGGCAAAGATGAAGGCAGAGACCACGATGATGCTTCCATGAGCCAAGGAAGGCCCGGCTGCCAGCAACCCCCAGAAGCTGGGAGAGAGGCCTGGAACAGCTTCTCCCTCCTGCCCTCGGAAGGAACCAGCCCTGCCGACACCTTGTCCTCCACAGCTGTGAGAGAGTGCCTGTCTGCTGTTTAACACATCTGTTTGTGGCTCTTCGTCCTGTCAGTCCTAGGACACTAATACACCAAGCCACAGGCTACTTGAATGAAGAAGGCTGTGGCTATAGACATTTGAAAATCACTGACCTAGATGATTTCTTCCATTTGTAGATGAGGAAATTGATACCCATCAATGAAGAGGGCAGTGACAGGGAGAGACAAGAAAGATTACCAAGGAGAGACGCTGAGCAGGAACCTTGCTGTGTTCTCAGGCTCACCGAGGCACCAGCCTGATGTAACCTTTTGCCAATGATCTTAGAAACTATAATCCAGCCGGGTGCTATGGCTCACACCTGTAGTCCCAGCCCTTTGGGAGGCTGAGGCAGGCAGATCACATCAGGCCAGGAGTTTGAGACCAGCCTGGCCAATGTGGTGAAACCCCATCTCTACTAAAAATACAAAAATTAGCCAGGCATGGTGGCAGGCACTTGTAATCCCAGCTACTTGGGAGGCTGAGACAGGAGAATCACTTGAACCCAGGAGGCAGAGGTTGCAGTGAGCTGAGATTATGCCACCGCACTCCAGCCTGGGTGACAGAGTGAGAGAAAGAAAGAAAGAAAGAAAGATAGAAAGAAAGAAAGAAAGAAAGAAAGAAAGAAAGAAAGAAAGAAAGAAAGAAAGAAAGAAAGAAAGAAAGAGAGAGAAAGAGAGAGAAACTGTAATGCACTGACTGACTACGTGCCCCTCTGCTCCTTACCCATTGGTTCTCAGATGCTCAGTGGCACCAGTGCAGGCAGTGCAAGGAAATCCTGGTGAGCAGCAGTGCTTAGAACAGCAACGGGGTGAAGCCTGCGTGAAATCAGCCTGGTTCAGGAAAGTCCTCACCCCAACTTCCATTTTGTAGACCAAGAATGGCAAATCAGTGGCAAGGGTTGCCTCTGATCACCTCTGATTGACAGATAAAAGTCCCCTGGAGCGATGTGTTAAGAAGGACTCTGAGAGCACATCCTGGCACAGCCAGGAGGAACTCTGAGATCAGCAAGTAATGCCTGCCACTGGTGGAAGAGGAAGCCACAGATTTGCCAGAGATCTTCCAGATTGTGGATGAAAATATTCCATGAACTTGAACCAAAAGCCTCCTGCAGTTCAGCGAGGTATCAGTAGGCTCCCAAGAACAGTCTATCGAGAAAGTCCAATTTGGCTGGTGTGGTCTGTCCTACAACAAAGCACATGTAGGTACAGCAAAGGAATGGTGTGCATTTTCCCTCAGCAGCAAACATGACTGAAATTTCCAGGTTCACCAGGTGGGCTTCGTTAATGACAACCACCACAGGGATCACACTCTTACTGTGAGCCGGGAGCTGAACTTGGGGCTTCCCAAGAGCCTCGCCCGTTTGGTCATCATTCCCATCCTGCAGTGTGGGTTTTCTAGATGAGAAAACTGAGCCTCTGAGTGGCTGCTCCTTACCCAGGTTTGCATAGATAAGAAGGGGCAGAGGCAGGATTTCTCAATGATGCTGCAGCTTTGTGCGATATCAGTCATCTGGGCTTATAAAATCAATAACTTCTCAGAACTAACATGTAGGGGCTCTCCAAGTGCCCAAAGGAGCTCTTTTGGTACTGGGGGGTTTGCTTTCAGGTCCTGCTACTTTGAAAGTGTCCAGTCATTTGAGTCTGGTGTCAAGTTGATCTTTTCTCTTCCTGTCACAAATGCCGCTTTTGATTAAGCGATGACTGTGATGTTTTCTCCCATCCACAAAAGACCCCTGTCCCAGTCCCGAAAGCTGCAGCCCCTCCAGACGTGAGCGAGCAGCGCCCCGGCTGTCCTCCGCTTACCATTCCTGCCTCCGTGTCTGGGCCTCAGCAGGACTGCTTTATGGATGACTTTGACTTTTTGTGAGAGGCATTCGTTTAAGTAGCGTCACTTCCCTCCAGGATTCAGACCCACCTGCTCAACCCACTCTCTGGCCACGCCCCTCTGTTGGCTCCACAATGTCCAGCGATCCTCAATGTCTATGGGAGGATTTTATGGCTGTGGTCCCCTGCCCCAGCAGGCCCTAGAAGTGCCTCTAGGGGAGGTGATGGTCAAGGAGTCACAGCTCAGAGCCCCCACTGCCAGATACTCCACTCTATTCAGAGAAGCTCTGTATTTCTTCATTTTTATACCAGGTCTCATCATAAGAGTTATTTTGAAAATAATTTTGCCTCCTTTAAAAAATGTTTCCAGGCTGGGCATGGTGGCTCACACCTGTAATCCCAGCACTTTGGGAGGTCAAGGTGGGTGGATCACTTGAGGTCAGGAGTTTGAGACCAGCCTGACCAATATGACAAAACCCCATCTCTACTAAAAAATACAAAATTAGCTGGGCATGGTGGCACATGCCTGTAATCCCAGCTACTCGGGAGGCCGAGGCAGAAGAATCGCTTGAACCCGGAAGATGGAGGTTGCGGTGAGCTGAGATCACGCCATTGCACCCCAGCCTGGGCAACAAGAGCAAAACTCTGTCTCCAAAAATAAATAAATAAATAAATAAATAAATAGATAAATAAATAAATAAATAAAAATTAAAAATAAAAAATGTTTCCAACCCGCTAGCTTGATGGATAAAGAAAATCTGGTCAGTCTGGGTAGCCAGCCCTCCCCAACACGGGGCCCAAGCCACCTTGCCATGGTTCGTCCCTTCTAACTGAGCTGTTTACTGCCCCAAACCCTAGGGTGCACCTGCCCTTGTCAGTGCTCCGTTTTCTCTCTCCACACTGGGTTTTCTACATGTCCTGACTTTCCCTAATCATCTCATCTTTGAGACCCAGCCCAGCTCTTGCACTCCTCATAATGCCTTTCCACATGGCCCCAGCTCCAGCTGACTCCTGTCTCTAACCTTCTAAAGCATGGCCAACTACAACCCATTGGCCAATGTGGCCCATCACTTGTTTTTGTAAATAAAGTTTTATTGGTACACAGCTGCATTCATGTGCTTGTGCATTTTCTATGGCTGCTTTCATGGTATGATGGCAATGTTGAGTAGCTGTGACAGAGACCCTCTGGCCTGAAAAGCCTAAAATGTCTACTCTCTGGCCCTCTCAAGAAAATCTTGAGCCCTGTTCTAAAGCACTGCAGCATGCATGCTGCCAGAAACACGCATGTGCTGTCAGGTATAAAGATAACATCTCCTTAGGAGACTACAGCCTCCTTTGAGGACAGAACCTGTCCCCCTAACTACTCTCTCTCCCTCAGTACCAAGCACCAGCCTTACTACCACAGGCCGTCGATAAATCCTAATTGGTGGACAGACAAATAGATGGATGGCTGTCTAAAGAAGGAAAGCATGCTGCTCTAAACCCTTCCCTTTAGACATGAAGAGAGTTGTTTGGAAAAGTCTCCAAACCTTGGCACATTTTTTTTTTTGCGGGGGACAGAGTCTCGCTCTGTCGCCCAGGCTGGAGTGCAGTGGCGCGATATCGGCTCACTGCCTCCTGGGTTCATGCCATTCTCCTGCCTCAGCCTCCCGAGTAGCTGGGATTATAGGCACCTGCCACCACGCCTGGCTAATTTTTTGTATTTTTAGTAGAGATGCGGTTTTGCCGTGTTAGCCAGGATGGTCTCCATCTCCTGACCTAGTGATCTGCCTGCCTCAGCCTCCCAAAGTGCTGGGATTACAGGCGTGAGCCACCGCGCCCGACCCGTAGGCACAACTTTTTACATCCCATGGTATACTTGATGATGGAGACCAAGCCAGTAGATCTTGCAATGTGCTTAAGAGGGATGAGAAATGTATAGTCACATGCTTTTGATAATCATGTACAAATTGAGTTTTGACTTGCATAAAAGTTTAAACAAAGCTTTATCTTCACATTGGATTTATTTTCATGGGCAGTAACTTTTAATATTTTAGCATTAAAAGTTGGCAGTGACTCAAAACCGCGTGATCTCAGGCCGTCTCAGGGTGTTATGTAAGGGCTTCACTGTGGACCACATAGTACACCAAATAAACGACCTCTATTTAATTGCAGCTTTACATTTTGGTTTTTCATATATTGGGTTTTCCTAAAATGAGTACCTAAATGGTTATAGAAACCAAAACAGAAAATCTTATTTTTCATCCAGCAAACTTAGAATATCTCTTCTACTTTAAAAATTATAAATGTAGTATTTATGAGGACATGTATAACTTTTTTTTTTGCCTTTAACAAAAAAGAGGGCGTGCATACACTTGGGCAGATATAGCTCACTTACTTGCCAAAAGAAGTTGCAACAATATCCCACCAACAGCCTACAAACATAACCGTTTTCTATATCCTTGCAAACAATGGATATTATCACCCTTTTCATCTCTGCCTGCCTGCAAAGCAATGTGTGTGTGTGTGTGTGTGTGTGTGTGTGTGTGTGTGTGTGCGCGCGCAAAACATTAATGTTTGTTATGGCATTAATGAGGTTACTCATATTTTTACATGTTCATTGGCAGTTCATTTTTCCATTGAGCTCTGCATTTTTCTTATTGATTTATAGAAGCTCCTTATATAGTATGAATATTAACTCTTTGTAACATGCTGCAAGTATTTTTTGAGTTTGTCATTTATGTTATAACTGTTTTCTCGGCGTTCTTTGCTAGTAGAGATTTAAACTTTTTCTCACTGATTCAATTTGGTGCTATGCTAAGAAAGCCCTTCTCTCTAACATTAAATGTAATTCCCCTTATTTTTTAGTATTTTTTTTATATTTAGATTTATCATTGTGTGAAGGATAAGAAGGAAATTTAATTTTATACTTTCCAAATGGATATCTAGTTGTCCCCAAATCACTGATTGATAAGCTCATCATTCTTCCCAGTCTAAGATGTCTTTTTTTAGGATTCTGGGCATTTCTTAGAATTCCATAGAATAATGCGTGTTCTGATCCATTGTTCCATGTCCCTATCCTGAATCTCAGATTCGAGTTTTACAGCTTTCAGGGTCACTGTCACACTCTGAGGCTGCATTGTTGGGGGAGTCTAGAAATTATCCTCCTCATCTTGGAATTGATCACCCCAAGTGAAACGACTAGCTTGGGGTCACAGGGAGCATTTCAGAGCCAGGACTGGAGCAAGAGTTTCATTTCTTAGGGCAGTTCTCTTTCCACAATTCACTCTACTTCTCCTTTGAGCCCTAAATGACAACACACACCACGTTTAATGGATTGTGCTTCCAAACATGACATCAACAATCATGTATGTAGGGCTTTGATTTTGTTATGAGAAACGGCCTTAATGTTTAGAGAAATACAATGTTTTTACCAACATTATATTTAAACCACCACGTTTGGTTGAGTCACACAGAGTTTTCTAGTGCTGCATGAGTGGCCCAAGAGCCATCTGAAATCCCAGGGCAGGAAGCAGGGACCCCAGAGCATCCCTGTGGACTGTTGAAGGTAACAGAGACACCATGCACCCAGACTGGAGTCGCCTCCACCTGCAGATTCCAGCCGTGCCATTTTGTGGGCCCTTCTCACTTGCTGGCCTGTTCCACACACGTCATCCTGGGAGCCGTCATCCTGGGAGCTGAATCCTAGGAGCCGTAATCCTGGGAGCTGTAGTCCTGGGAGCTGCAGTGCCTGCCACTGCCTTGGCTTCTGCCTCTGTGGCTGGAAGACACTCCCTGGGAATTTTCCTGCCCAGTTTCCCTTCACCTGAGGCATGGGTAACTGGCTCCATAGGTGGACACCAGATGCCTTACCTGAAAGAGGAGCCCATTGACCCCAATTGAAACCATTTGGAATGCTGTCACCAAGGTGGATCTGAGTTTGAATATGCATTTTTGATAGATGGGGTGGGAGGGTGGAGTGAGGTAGCAGCATGGGTCCGAGGTCTCTGTCCCCACCAGCCTGGTTGCACAGGATGCCCAGCGCCCCCCAGGCAGCCCCTGCAAGTGCAGTCAGGACCCTCCATGGCTACCAGCCATGAGTGACAAGGATGGGCACACCAGGGACACACTCTGCCCTTCGTCATCTCCCTCAGCAGTCCAACCTGCCCTCCCTTTTCTTCCAGGACAGGCAGTGGAGTTGTAGCAATAAGCGTGAGCTTGTGTGTGTAGCCATAAAGCATGTAGATGCATGTACTCCTTAAAGCCAACAGTGAAAAAGATGAGACCCCCCCCGCCCCAGAGCCAGGCCTGCAACACGAGGGCAGCTGGAGCTACAGGCTGTGGGCGGGGCAATGAGCAGTGTGCAGAGGAGGATGTTATTCAGAGGGTGGGGGTGTTTCACAGCATCCCCGGGGCTCATGTCCAGAAGACCTGGACTTAATTCTGGGCTCAGGAACTGTCCTGAAGTGGGTAGCACTTAGCAGGCCACCTGAGGAGCAGTCTTGGACCCCTCTCTGGAAGCGTGCCCCACAGGTGGCAGACGTAGATGCAGGGCAGCCTGTGCACCACCAGCAGAAAAACAAACGGACTTTTTTTCTCTCTTTTTCTGACCACTGACTTCAGGCAGGCATGGAAGAGGTAAAATTCAGCGTCATCATCTGCAGACCTTCAGCCTATGGGCTCCAAGCAAACAGCAGGCTTTATGCACGAGTAATTTGAGGGATCACTGTTTCCATCTCACACGCAGGAACATGCAGCAGCCTCATATTTTGCCATGGAAGATGTGCGATTATAACGAATAACACAGAGCAAGCATGCCCGGTGGTCTGCTGGGAGCCAGGCACCTTGTTAGTGCCTGTGTGTGACACACCCAGCCCAAACCTGTCCTCCAGGGCTCTCAGTCTAGCTGGGGAGTGGCCCCGTTGGGACTGTATTTATTATCCCGACTGCTTGCTGTAGAGGCAAGATAGATGATGGTGTGTGGTCTAGGCAGGGTCATCACAGGGACACTGTCTTTGCCACACAGAGTCTGCCCTCGGGGAAGAAACGGGCTTGGTGAGATGAGGATGTTCTGCTGCTTCTGAGCCCCACAAATGAAGGACACAGTTGGGAGGCTGTGCTGTGCAGCTGGGTCCCAGCAGCAACAGGGGATACCTGGCAATTCTGGCCACCAACCTTGGGCCTTTGTGGAAAATGCAAGCTCTACTGTATTAGTCAGTTCTCACACTGCTATAAAGAGCTACCTGAGACTGGGTAACTTATAAAGAGAAGAGGTTTAATTGACTCACAGTTCAGCAGGCTGTACAGGAGGCATGGCTGGGGAGGCCTCAGGAAACTTACAATAATAGCAGAAAGGTGAAGGGGAAGCAGGCACGTCTTCACATGGCACTGAGAGAGAGAGCAAAGGGGGAAGTGCCACACACTTTTAAACAATCTGATCTCGTGAGAACTCACTCAATATCACAAGAACAGCAAGGGGAAGTCCACCCCATCATCCAATCACCTCCCACCAGACCCCTCTTCTGACACTAAGGACCACAACTCGAGATGAGATTTGGGTGGGCACACCCCTTTTCCAACACTAAGGACCACAGCTAGAGATGAGATTTGGGTGGGGCCAAACAGAGCCAAACCACATCACTCTCCTCAGTCAGAGTCTGGGGTGAGGCTGGAAGGAAGCCCCGCTCTGCTGTGTCATTGGAATGATTCTCTAGATCTAATTCTAAAGACTCATGGAAGTGGGAAGTCTTTATTTTATTACCTCTAGTGGATGTATGGAAACACTGCTCTGTGGTTTATGGTTTTGAAAATTACTGCATGCCTTAGCATCACCTTGAAATAGAATATTCCATGGTAACTATTATGAGGAGCTTAAAACTATTGGAGGCCTTCAAAACGCGATTGTATCAAAGTCCAGAAATAATTCTAAGGCAGAGAATAAACTACTTTGAAGCCACACTTCTAAAGGATCGTGGATGGTAATATATAAACCACTGAAGTAAAGTTCAAGTGGTGTGTAAATGTCACCAGGTCCGTGATATTAAAAATGCCATTTTATAGCATGCATAGTTTGGGTGGAGTTCATGATTATTAAATCTTGGATAGTACCAGTCAACACGCTCAGAATGTTATATCCCTGTGTGGGATTGTGTGAGCACATTCCCCAGGCCACTCCACACCCACCCAGGGCTCGGTGAGCAAAAGCCTCACTGGGTACCAGGCACAGCCACTCTGGCTGTGGGGAGAGTGAGGAAACACTGAAGAAGAGGAAGCAAAGGGACTCCCCAAGGAGCTGGCAGTGACTCTTAAGCAAGAAGTCCCAATGGCTGTGTCCAGTCCCCTGCCCTGAGTCCAGTTATGTGGCTCCTCTTGACCACACCCTCCATGGCTCCCACTCCCGAGCCGATTGCTTGGCTATTTTCAAGGCACTTACTTGTTATTTTTGTACAAATGGAACTGACTAATTCATTTTACTTTAATTCGACAAGCATTTATGGAGGACTTGCTATTTGAGGGGCTGTGTTTGGTCATTGTCATCTATTTATTTCCAAGTGGAAAGTTGGTCATGAGGATAGAAACCAGGCTCCATAGGCTGCAATATAATGCTTCTGGTTTTCCCAAAGGGAAATCAAGGCCCTAGCGATTTCTATGGACTGTGTAGTTGTTGCTAAGGGGTGGAAAGCACTGAAGATGTTTTGCAGTATGTGACTGGCCCATGTGTGTGTGTGGTCACTGTGAATTTAAATGGGCACCAAAATGCAGAAACACTGCCTGCTGGATTCAATGACTAGGACGGTGTTTTCACCGACTTGGTGGAAATGGGGTGGTCCATAGATTGGCTGGAGCAACTGCAGCCTGAGAACACAAAGGTGGTCATCATCCTGCCTTCCCATGAGAAGGTGGGTGCTTCAGACAAAGCCTGACATGAAAATACATGCACACATTTCATTCACTGAACCCTTGCCATGTGCAAAGCAAGCACTGCAGGGGAATGCGAAGGTCAGAGACACACCTGGCCTCAGGGAGCTCACCGTCTTGGAGGTGTGCAGGTCAGAGGCACACCTGGCCTCAGGGCGCTCACAGTCATCCAGGCGAGAAGGTCAGAGGCACACCTGGCCTCAGGGTGCTCACCATCATTGAAGTGTGAAGGTCAGAGACACACCTGGCCTCAGGGAGCTCACCATCATTGAGGTGTGCAGGTCAGAGGCACATCTGGCCTCAGAGAGCTCACCATCGTCCAGGTGAGAAGGTCAGAGGCACACCTGGCCTCGGGGCGCTCACCATCATCCAGGCAAGAAGGATGAGAACCGCACGAGCGTCCCATGACAGAGGAACTTCTCTTGCTGCAAGTGATGCGGGGTGCAGAGAAGAAACTTGCTGAGGACATGTGGCTTTGACCAAACAACTCCATGTCTCATCTTCACGCTCCTGGGATTCACTGGGTTGGCATTAAAAGATCCCAAGCAAAATCCCAAACAGACAAGGCAGGGGAACAGCTAGAAGCTCAGCTCTCAGGATGACTCTACCCAGCTGCCCCATGGAAGGACTTTGTAGATTTCAAGTATATATTTTGATACATGTAATTTTTTTTCACTATTGTCTAGCAGGCTTCAGAAACAATGAGAAATCTTGAGAAAGTAACTATATGTGTTCCTTTGCTGCAAATAAAATGATTGTTTTTCAAGAGTGGCTCACCCTGAACTAACACATCATCATTTCAAGTCCTAACTTCCCGCCCTCCATCCACCCTGGGCATGGCCCTCAACCGGGTAGGTCCAGCCCCTTGTGGTGTTCAACTCAGCAGTCCAGACCCTTTCCCTAATAAGGCTGGAATTCCACTGGCCTGCACTGGTGACATTAAACAGCAGAGCCCCTGAGTGATAAAAACCAGTGGATGGGCTCACAGACGTGTGCCAGGCGGTGTGGTTTAATTTTTCTGACATGCCCTGATTTGGACGGTCACAATTCTAAGTTTCCTTTTTTCCAGGAGAAATGAACATCTTTGGGAAAGTTTGGTGGAAAACCAGCCCGTAGAGCCGTGAGAGACACAGGATTCACTTTTGGCACTCTCGCCTGGCTCAGCCACCTGGAATCAAGGAAGACAGCACAGTGCTGACCCCACGCTCCTGCCAATGCTCACTTCCTCCCCTGGGGTCATTTCCCAGGAGCAGAGCTGCAGGCCGGGGCCTCTGTCTGCCTGTGGTAGGCACCCACACTCATTCTCATCTGGTTCCTTGTAAGTCTTCTATTGCAAAATCTTCTCAGGACTTGGAGACATGCTATTCTCGGTTTCCCCAATAACAAAATGAAAGTGCAAAGGTGCCGTGTCAGCAGGTGGGCCGTGGACTTCGCACCTGGGTGATGGTGAACCTGCCTCCAAAATTGCCATGGGTCCAAAGAGGCGCCAATTCCTGGCAAAACTGATGACATTTATGAATTTTATTTCTGGTTGCAACCTGATTTTGTTATGGACCTATACTGACGTCAGTAATAAACAATAATAAGATTGTAAACTATTGCTCTTTATAATAAAATAATGCCTCTTGGCTGTATTATAAATCTAATAGCTATTACATCAGCACTCATAACTATATATCATGCTTACCTTTTAAATATACACAGGGTATTAGATGGCTCAACAGAAGCGGCCAGATTTATTATTACTGCTTAGCCATAGCTTTTATTACGTCACAAATGACTAATAGGTAAAAAATGAAGGGAGATGCAATTACAGAGATGATCTATCCCATGACTTTGGGGGGCAGGGAGTGGCACATGGGTCCTTGCTTCCACCTGTGCTGCCGAGGGCACCTGCTCCCCGTCTGCAGGTGCTTCCCGGGGCTGCTCGGAGGCTCACATGATTCACCCTGGAGGCTGCAACCGTCACACTGTGCATTCGCAATGCAGAATAAACTTCTAAGTAAATGGTTAGTTCCTAAGTTTGCTTTAATAAATCATCTCTTCTCATCTGGGCACCTGTGATTTCATCGCCCTGGGGGGATCACCCAAACCTCTCATCGGCACTGAAACAACCCTTAGGTGTGGGACCAGCGTGTTTGTTTTTGTTTTCAGTATCTTCATAAAATGAAGGCACAGAAAAATGGGGCAGTGACAAACAAGGACCAAAAAAGATGCAGTCAAACATTTCCTTGAATTATTATTAATAATAGTGTTTACACTGTGAGTCTCTCTTAGTAGAGGTACTGAAATGCTCCACTGACAAGCACAAGCTCCAAATTACCCCTCTTCACATCCCCCCAGATCTAAAGGGGTTGAGCAAGGGGAAGAGAGCATCTTAGTTTTCCGGGAGAAAAAAATCAAAGTGCAGTGACATTGAAAACTCCCTGGATGCTGCCCCTGGAATAGGAAAAACAGGAAGAGCTGCTGGGGTCCGACCCAGACCCGCAAACCCCTCCCCATCAAGGCCCCTCCCAGCAGGTGCCCAGCCGCACCTTTACCAGCTTTTCCAGTCGCCTGCAAGGGCTGAGGCAGGTGACACCCTCAGGGGACCCCTGGGGCCAGCAGGGCCATCAGTGTCCTCTAGCTGGGGGGTGTCCCTGCAACAAGGGCAGTGAAGCGTTTGGAGGAGGCCATCATGTCGACTCTGGTCTTTGTCTCCCTTGGAGCAGCATCCGAATGTGTCCTGAGGACAATCAGGGATGCAGATACTGCCCGCCTTGTGGAATGGCCTGTGCAACCCGGGGGCACAAGCCAGGCTACTGGTCGTCCCTACCTCTCTGTCCCAGCACCACTGACAGGCTGAATCACACCTTTGATTCCAAGCAAGTCCCCTGTCCTCAACACCTTAGAGAAGAGGTGGCCAGTGGGGTTGGGGACAGACCAGGAGGGGCGTGGCTGTGGCGGGAATGTTGGCTTTCATGGAAAAATTGCACTGTGCCAATTTCCCGAGACTATAAAACCCACGGAGTGAGACTTCAGGTTTGGCACCTGCTCCAGAACCTTCTTGATGAAAAAAAGGTTGTCTTCATTAAGAGCATTAATATTCATGCCGCATGGTAATTTTGACACAGAAAAGGTCTCTGTAACCTTTTCTTGTGTGAGAATTTTTTACTTCTCAAGGAAATTACAGTCCAGCAATGACTTAATTAATGCTGGGTTTCTTGGGCAGGTTTTGAAGAGCTGTCAGTTTGGGCTTGCAGAAACTGTCAACCAGGGAGCAGCCGGCTGGGGGCGAGGGGGGAGCGGTACCCCACGCCGGACCGGGCACCCAGCACCTTCCCATATTCGTTTTAATTTAGCAGCCTGTTTTCCCTAATGCTGGGTAATTTATTATTGGGACAGAGGGTGCAGCTTGAATTAATAATCCATTTTTCACCCAAAATCTTTATTCTTTTTATCGAATGGTCTCATTCCCAAGCCATTTGGCTTTGGGAAATTTGGCCCAGGAATGATGAGGTGAGTGGCCAGCACCCATAAGCAGCCAGCCAGCATCTGCTGGCTCACTGGTGAAGCCCCCAGGAGTGCAGAAAACCCATCCTACTCTTTACAAGAAAGCAACCATCACCACAGAAACAGTGCCAGGTGTGGCTCCTGTGTGATCTGCGGGGCTCATCCTCTTGCCTGCACCTTCACCAGTGATGGGCCCAGGGGCGCTCCCCAGCCTCCCTCTCCCTCCTCCCCTGGCTTGGCTCTTCCTCCTTCTGCGGCCTTCCTGGGCCCCAGTGTGGAGTTACATGCATTCATGGGACTGTCCAGGAGGAAGATGCCGCCTTAGGAAATAGCAGACCCCATCCAATGCCTCAGGGAGCTGGACAGCCATAAAGTGCAGAGCGGAGGGAACGCGGAGCACACCTCTGGGGGCTGCAAATCCACTGCGCACACGTCCACTTCTCTAGTGGAACTGGTCACGCTGCCATCTGCAGAGCTGCCCCCGGGTTTCTATTTCTAGAAACACTACCAAGCGTTGGAGCCTTGTTCTGCAACATTCTCCAGGTTGAAATATGGAAGAGGAAGGCTTCCCAGAGCCTCTAAAAGCTGGAAGGCTTTGAGACAACAGGATTCTCCAATATCACAAGCAAAATGGAAGCTTCCGGAACGCCTAGGATCAGGGGCCTGTCTCCTTGCACACAGGTCAGGATGGAAAGACGTTTGCTGCTTCAAGAGCCCCAGGGGAGAAGAACAAGAGTAAAAGGTCAGGCTCCAGCTGCAGAGAATAAATCAGGAGTGTTTGCATCGCAGAAGCATATCGGTAAGTCCAGGCACATAATTCAGAGACAGCCTCTGACTTCCTCTCTGTCTCCCTGAACATAAACCAATGACTCCATCGGCCAAGAGGCTTCAATATTGGGTGGGGAGAGAAAAAAACAATATTGCAGCAATGTGTGCACAGCATTTTTTTCTGGATCAAACCGATGGAGAAGTGAGGGAGGCCCATGGGAGGAGCTGGCTGGGGTCGGGGATAGTGGCTTCCGGGCCTCCACCCACCATAGCCAGGATAGGAACCAAACTGCAGGCACCCTCTGGTTGACAATGGGCAGGCTCAACCGGCAGGGCTGGCCTTTGGAGTTGCTGATGCCACCTTGGACGCTGTTCCCCAGGTTTCGGGGACTGAGTGGAGTCATCCCAATTCGAATGGAAATGCTGGCTCCCCGCGGCCCTGCTGCACACTTAAATTTACGTCTTTACAACCTGATGAAAACTCTTCCCAGGAGGAAGGTGAAGTCTCCCTGCCCCTCCACCTGTACTAAATTCTCTAGTAAACAAAATAAGCACAGCACAGAGAGTTGCGTGCACACTTATTGCTGCAGAGCGGCACCAGGCCCCAAAGGCCGTCTCCAAGGGCCGAGGATAAATAATGCACACTGCATTTCTAATATCGTTAGGTAACCAAATAAAATAAATATTTTACACTGCTGGGGCATAACAACGCAGGCAGACAGACCAAAGAGGCAGAGCTGGGAGCCAGAGAGAAGACATGGAAATGCCTGGCCCTCGGTGGAGGCAGGGAGGCCCTGCGAGACTCACTGGGCTCAGACACAAGAGTTGAGAGGGAAATGCTCCGTGGTGAAGAGTTTGTAAATAATACTATAAATATGCATAGCACACGATAGGAATCGGGAAATCTCTCCTACCCTCCAGAGAGAGATAATCAAGGCCCAGACATGTTTCTAAGGACCGTATTTATTGGCTTGTGACGGGGCTACAGTAAATTTACTACCCTCTCCTCCAAAAACCAAACCTCTTCTTCCCCCACCTCCCATCCCCATCATTCCTTGGACATTTATTAAGAACCAGCCATGTGCAAGCAGCAGACTCACCAGAAGAAGCAATATCGGAGCTGAAAGGAATCCTGCAATTCTAATTCTTCCCCCTTGTTTTGCAGATGGCAAAATGGAGTTTTCAGCCAATGAGGGTGCTGGGCTGGCGGGAGTGAGGCTGCTGGGCTGGCGGGAGTGAGGCTGCTGGGCTGGTGGTCCCTGGTGCAGGGCGTTTCCCACCACCTCACGCTGCCTCGAACTGTGAAGGAGATGTTGGAAATGGAGTTTCTGTCTCACTGGTCTGGCAATCATCTGAGAGCACGTGGATGCTAACTCTGGCAGTAACTGCTGAACATGCTCCATGCACACCGAGCCCCTGACTGGCATCTGGTGTTAACAGAGCAGCGTGAAGGAGAAGGAAGACAGTGGCTGGGAGGGCTTTGTGCTGGGAAAGGTGAGGCCCGAGGTTCCCGGGGGGCCAACTCAGATGGAACCACCTGCCCCCTCCCATGCATATGGGATCCCTCTGTGCAGCTGTGAATTCTGGGCTGGGGGAGCTCATTGTCCTGGGTGTCCCATCAACTCCCAGGCTAGGATGTGGCCTGGGCAGAGCCAACCTGGACTGTGCAAATAAGTCAACAAGAGACAGATGGAGCCACAGAGAGAGTCGGAAGAGAAGGAGGAAGGAATGGGGCGGCTGCTGTGTCCACGCAGTGGGGTCCACACGGGGTCATGGTGGACCCCGTTGCCTACTAACAGATCCTGGCTGTGTTCCGGTATCGGGCACAGATGTCTTGATACCAGGTTAGGTGAGCCCTTTCCTCCAGTCCCAAGGAGTGAATTAGAGCTAGTTTATTTGAAACGAGGTAATCTTTGTCAATGACTGATCTAGCACCAGGCACGTGACCCAGTTCTGAAAGATTTCCTTACCCGATAAAATGACAGGGCTCTGAAGGACCTGCCCCTTCTCCGTGTCCCATCTGCCAGGAGAGTGTGATGTCTGGAACCACTGAGCCATTGTGTGGCCTGAGATGACGATCACAAGGACACAAAGTAGGAAGCTAGTCACGGGGAACTCAGACGGCGCAGGGAACAGCAGTGGCCACCCCCACAGCTGTACCAGCTCCATGGCGTCTGAGCAGTTTTTCCCTATTGCCTAAGACCCTCTTAGTCAGGTGCTGTGCCCCTCCCACCCTATCGTATCCCCTCACTGGGCAACTCCCCTGATTACTGGCAGAGCACCAGGGGACCAAGATGCTGTGATCTGGCTGGAGAGGGAAACGCGGGTGGCAGAGGGGGTTTGAGCTGGGAGCGCGTCACAGATCACGGAAAGAATACACAACAGTAGGGCAGAAGCCATGCGACCGCTCCTGATGCAAAAGATCAAACCCACCACGTGGGCTCCAAGCACCCATAGAAACAGGAGGTCTAGCAAATGGGTGGCCCAGCAGCACTGGAGGCTGTGGGTGACTGGGTGGGGATGGCATTGCCAGGGTCCTGGTATAATGAATGGGTGGGGGGCCGGCTGGGACCCTCGACGAAGTTGATGCAGCTCAGCCAGAAAGCTCGAAGGATGCAGGCTCTCCAGGCCAGAGGCTCTCCAGGCCACAGGCCCACCGGGAGAGCGGAGTACCCAGGGCAAAGTCTGGAAGACCCGCCCTTGGGGCTTGCGTGGAGGGCAGCACGGGAGAACAGTGTTAGAAAACACAGCCTTCCACTCCCCAACAGGAGACCCGCAGGGCTCAGCGCAGGGCTCATCACAGGGCAGCTTCTGTAAGTTCTTCATTTTGTGGTCTGTAGTTTTACTATTTGTCTAAGAGAAATGCAGAATAAATCTGCTTCCAGAGCCATAGAGGCTGAGTCTGTTTCCCAAAACTGAAGTTCTTTCTCTGCTCCCTTAGAGACAACCCCGTCTTTCATTTGACAGGTTCCATGATTTTCCCTGGGCCGTGTGGCCTCAGCAGCCTAAGCTCACACTTATCCATAGACAAAAGCTCAGGGGCTGGAAAGGAAAAACCGGGGTAACTGCTGCTGCGGGTCCCCTCACCCTGCCTCAGCCAGGAGAGCAGGGAGTATCACAGGAAATGATCTTAATGCATTGCTTACATAACCCATTGCTGACAGAAATTTTTTCTGTTAACTACAATAATAATTCCCTGGCTATGTCATAACTATAGGGTTGTACTTCATAGCTGTGACATCTTAGCCTTGAATTATGATAATATCCTGTATGAAAATGCTATTTTTGTTTTCAAAACACTTCCTGATGTGTTCTCTTATTTTCATTTCAAAACATTTTTATAAGGACCCCGACAGGGTGAAAAGGCCACGCAGATGCCAGGAGGGCAGAGGTGGCCTCGGAAGGCTTTGCGGCTGGATGTCCTCAGGGCTCCTGACACCTGAGGCGGGCTCCCCTCTTGTTCCCAGGCCCATCCAGCCCCTGTGGCAGGTGGCAGGGGCTGGGGGTGCTCCAGTCCTAGAGTCCCAGTTGGGGATAGGCAGCCGAGGGCAGTCCCTGAACCTCCTTCGGATTCTGAGCCTCTGGGTATGGAGGCTAGAGGCTGCCTCCCAGGCACTGTCTTACAACCATTTCTGTTGAACAAAAGAACCTTGCAGAACCCGGAGCCAATCACTGGAAGGGTCAGAGCCTCCTAGGCATCTTCCTCTTTGCAGCTGGGGTGCCCAGGGCCCGGCTGGAGTGACAGGCTCCCTGCGGTGAGTGCTGGCCAGGCTTTCCTGGGCATCAGGGGCCTGCAGGGGAACTGGCACAGGGAGAGGCGGCCCAGGCTCCTCCCGCTTCGCTGCCCTCCTCCTCCCCTACCCTGCCCTGGAAGGTGGGTTTCCCTCGAGCCTGCACGCTGCCCCTCTGTTCTGCATGGAAGCTGTCACCTGTCTCCTGTAGGTGAATGATTCCCAAGTCTACTGTCCCAACCTCAGCTCTCTTCCCCAGCCTTTATCCGAGGCATCCTGACCATCTTTCCCCGGAGGTCTCTTCCAAATCCCATCCTCAATTGAACGGAAACCCGTCTCATGTTCACTCAGGAACCACTGGCTCCTCCAGTGCACAGATTTGCAACCGATTCCCATGCCTCCTTTCTAGCCTGAAGCCCAGGACTCACCCGGGGCTCCCCTCTCTGCTCCACGCCATTCAGCAAGCTTCCACGGAGCGCCTGCACGCTGTGCTTGCCACGGAGTAAATACAAGCAGGACATTTCAGCAAGCTTCCACGGAGCTTCCACAGAGCGCCTGCACGCTGTGCTCGCCACAGAGTAAAACACAAGCAGGACATTTCAGCAAGCTTCCACGGAGCTTCCACGGAGCACCTGCACGCTGTGCTCGCCACGGAGTAAAACACAAGCAGGACATTTCAGCAAGCTTCCACTGAGCTTCCACGGAGCACCTGCACGCTGTGCTCGCCACGGAGTAAAACACAAGCAGGACATTTCAGCAAAGCTTCCACGGAGCTTCCACGGAGCGCCTGCACGCTGTGCTCGCCACGGAGTAAAACACAAGCAGGACATTTCAGCAAGCTTCCACGGAGCTTCCACGGAGCGCCTGCACGCTGTGCTCGCCACGGAGTAAAACACAAGCAGGACATTTCAGCAAGCTTCCACGGAGCTTCCACGGAGCACCTGCACGCTGTGCTCGACACCGAGTAACACAAGCAGGACATGGATCCTACAATTAGCAACAGTAGACGGGCCGGGTAATTGAACATTACAAACAGCTGGGACCCTGAGGGGCAGTAGGACTCCAACCGCTTGTTTTGTACATGAACAAGAGGAGACCCCAAGAGATTAGAAGACTGCTCAAGGTCGCAAGCTAAAAATGGGCAGATGGGGCTGCGACCCTAGGTCTCCTTGGCCCCAGGAGTGCTCTTCCTGCGGGGTCACAGCCTTTCCCTCTCCAGGCACCGGGTTGAGCAGGCGGGAACGGCAAAACACAGACAGAAACCTCTCATCAGGACCTCCAAGTTCTGCAGTTTTACCCCGTTTCATTGCAGAAATAAAACGAATACAAGCAAACATATTTGCTGGTTGGCCTATCAACATCCCAAGATTTCTGAGAGCTAAACACAGGACTTGGCACACACCTAAATTGTATCTGATATGGTTTGGCTGTGTCCCCACTCAAATCCTATCTTGAATTGTAGCTCCCATAATTCCCACGTGTTGTGGGAGGGACCCGGTGGGAGGTAATTGAATCATGGGGGCGGTTCCCCCATACTGTTCTCGTGGTAGTGACTAAGTCTCACAAGAGCTGATGATTTTATAAAAGGTTTCCCCTTTCACTTGGCACTCATTTCTCTCTTCCCTGCAGCCATGTAAGACCTGCCTTTCACCTTCTGCCATGACTGTGAGGCCTCCCCTGCCACGTGGAACTGTGAGGCCATTAAACCTCCTTTTCTTTGTAAATTACCCAGTCTTGGGTATGTCTTTATCAGCAGCATGACGATGAACTAATACAGTATCACACGTAAAGAAACAAAAAGCTTATCACTATCAAACAAAGTGTTTACCATAACAAAGTTTAAGGCTTGAACATGTATTCTTTAAGATAATGCAAAGAACATACACTCTGGTAATTTTAATTTCAGCCTGAAATGTCCTATATCCACACTGTTTCCTAATTTCCTAGGGGGGAAAATCCTATTTAATCTGCACCATGTTCACTCCTCTGTCTGTTCTCCGCTGGCTACCCAGCTGCGGGAATGTCTGATTTTTCACTTGCTGATTTAGAGGCTCGTATGACACATTCAACCTTTTAAATAAATCATTCATTTTTTTTTAAAGGTTGGCTATGTCATAGTGTTGTGATGCACCCAATTTTTAAAATAACTGTTTATTTGATGTCAGGTACATCAGACAGAAAAATAAATGTGACTTGGTAGAGCTTATTGCAAAAATTTGATCTTTTTGATTTGGATATACTTAGTCGGTTGCTCAACGAATTGAGACTATTTTTGGCTCAAGAGAAAGTGGGAAATTATGCAGCACGTGTCTTCCAGGGCCTCCAGACTCTTCTCTCCACAGCTTTCCTCCCCTCTCTGAAGCCTTCACTTTCTCAGGTGCTCATGGTCATCCAGTATTTTCCCCTCATCTCTGTTATCAAAATTGGCTCTTAGGAAACGATTTCAAACCAGTCATGCACAATGCAGTGTAGTTGTTCCTGGGGTGCTTGGTGTCTTCCACAATGAGCAGGGCTGGAGCTGTGGCTTTTTATCTTTTCACCCCTACTGCCTGGGACTGTGCCTGGAACACAGTAGCTACTTAATATGTACTTATGAAATGAAGGAGTGTCTACGACCATTTGTATCTTAAGGCTTAACCTCTATAAAATGAAAACTCAAAAGCGTTTCATGAGGATACATGAGCAAGATTTGGGAAGAATACACTAAGCTCCAATATAATTAGGCAAATGAGAGGTATAGTATGGGACATAAACCCACCCAGAGCCTGCTCCCTGGTGTCCTCTCTCCCACAGTCCACATGTGTTTGCATGCTATAGGGCCCAGGTGCATGTCAGGGCTGCACTTTTATTCCAAGGCTTATAAATCTGGAACATATGTATCTACACATGTGCTGGCCTCACTTAATACATAGGCACCATGATAAGGCCAATGTGACTCTTGGTATACAAAGCTTAAAATGGCACTAAGCATGAGTAGACTTTTAGAAATGCTTTGCAAATTGGATGCATCTGAACATAAGAATGCCAATTATTGAACTCATATTAGTGACAGTAGCACATAGTAACATTTGTAGAGAACCATTGTATTATTACTGCTACTATTTCCATATATTACCATTCCTAGGAAGCCCTTTCCCACCACTGCGATATTAGGCCAGATCCCGGGCTAAGGAGAAATAGCACTATCATACGTTATTCCCTTGCAGGACAATCTGACCATGATTTTTAACTTAGGGACTTTCCCCACCCATACATGGCTGTAGTCAGTGTGCCGGTGATATGGTTTAGATGTTTGTCCCCTCCAAATCTCATGTTGAAATGTGATCCCCAGTGTTGGAGGTGGGGGCTGGTGGGAGATGTTTGGGTCATGGGGGTGGGTCCCTTGTGAATGGGTTGGTGCTATCCCTTTAGTGATGAGTGAGTTCTCTCTTGCTCCCTCTCTTGACATATGACACGCCTGCTCCCCCTTCACCTTCCACCATGAGTAAAACCTTCCTGAGGCCTCACCAGAAGCCAAGCAGATGCTGGTGCCATGCTTATACAGCCTGCAGAAGCCTGAGCCAAATACACGTCTTCTCTTTTTAAATTAAATAGCTTCTGGTATTTCTTTATAGCAATGCAAAATGGACTATGACAGAAAATTGGTACTAGGGGTGGGGTGTTGCTATAAAGATATCTGAAAATGAGGAAGTGGCTTTGGAACTGGTTAATGGGCAGAGGTTGAAAGAGTTTGGAAGGCTCAGAAGAAGACAGAAAGTTGAGTGAAAATTCGGAGCTTTTTAGAGACTGATTAAGTGGTTGTGATGAAATGTTGATAGAAATATGGGCAGTGAAGGGCAGGTTGATGAGGTCTCAGATGGAAATACGGAAATTATTGGGACTAGGAGTAAAGGTCACCCTTGTTATGTGGTTGCAAAGAACTTTGCTGCATTGTATTCATGCCCTAGGGAATTTATGGAAGATTGAACTTGAGTGAGAATCTAGGGTACATGACAAAAGACGTTTCTAAGCAGTGAAGTGTTCAAGACATGGCATGGCTACTCCTAACAGCCTACAATCAGATTTGGGAACAAAGGAATGACTTAAAGTTGGAACTTATAATTAAAAGAAAGCAGAGTGTGACAATTTGGAAAATTTGCAGACCAGCCATGTGGTAAAGAAGAAAGGAATGTTTTCAGGCAAGAAATGTAAGGGTCTTGTGGAACAAACCTTTGCTAGAGATATTTGCATAACTGAAACGGAGCCAAGTGCTAATAGTCAAGACAATGGGAAAAAAGGCCTCAAAGGCATTTCACAGATCTTGTAGGCACCTCCTCCCATCAAAGGCCCAGAGGCCTAGGAGGAAAGAATGGTCTTGGGGGCCAGGCCCAGAGTGCCACTGCCATGCACTGCCTCAGGATGCTTCTCCTGCATTCAGGTCACTCTGGCTCCAGCCAGGGCTCAAAGAGCCCCAGATATAGCTCAGACCACCATTTCAGAGGACACAAGCCATAATCCTTAGTGGCTTCCACATGGTGTAAACCTTTAGGGGCACAGAACACAAGAGTGAAGGAGGCTTGGCAGCTTCCACCTAGATTTCAGAGAATGTATGGGAAAGCCTCAGTGCCCATGCAGAAATCTGCCCTCGGGGCAGAGCCCCCATAGAGAGCCTCTAATGGTGCAGTGCCAAGGGGAAATGTGGGGTTGGATCCCCCATACAGAGTCTCCACTGGGGCAGTACCCAATGGAGCTGTGGGAATGGAACCCCATTCCCCGACCCCAGCATGATACAGCCACCAGAGGCTTGCAATCTCAGCATGGAAAAGCCACAGGCATGAAATGTCAACTCTTGAGAGCAGCCACATGAGCTGCACCCAGCAAAGCCACAGAAGTGGTGTTGCCCAAGGCTTTGGAAGCCTGCCCCTTGCAGCAGTGTGCCCAGGATATGGGATATGGAGCCAAGGATTTTGTTGGAACTTTATGGTTTAATGTCTTCCCTGCTGGGCTTCAAACATGTATGAGGCCCATTGTCCCTTTCTTTTGGTGGCTGTCTGTCTTTTGGAATGGGAATGTTTACCTAATGCCTGTACCACCATTTTATCTTGGAAATAAATAACTTGTTTTTGATCTTATAGACTCATAGCTAGAAGGAACTAGTCTTGAGTATCAGATGAGACTTTGGAGTTTGGACCTTCAGGTTGATGCTTGGAAGAAATTAGGACTTTGGAAGAATATTGGGAAAGGATGATTGTATTTTGCAATGTGAGAGGGACATGAGATTTGGGGGGTTAGGGGTAGAATGATATAGTATGTATGTATGTTCCCTCCAAACCTCATGTTGAAACATAATCCCCAATGTTGGAGGTGCCACTTGGGGGAGGTGTTTGGGTCATGAGGATGAATCGCTCATGAATGGCTTTGTGCCATCCCCTTGGTGATGAGTGAGTTCTCTCTTTTGCTCCCTCTTTTGACATGTGACATGCCTGCTCCCTCTTTGCCTTCCACCATAAGTAAAATCTTCCTGAGGCCTCACCAGAAGACAAGCAGATGTTGGTGCCATGCTTATGCAGCTCACAGAACCATGACCCAAATAAACCTATTTTCTTTATAAATTACCCAGCCTCTGGTATTCCTTTATAGCAATACAAAATGGACTAAGACAGCCACTGTCACAGCATCAAGCTCCATTAGCCAATGAATGGCCAGAAGCAAAAAGACCCATGTTTTCCGTTTTGGTCTTTTGTTTTGAGATAGAGACAAGTAGAAAATTGCAATAATCCTAAAAATCAACAAGATAAAGAGCAACAGCAATAGGTGGGCAAGGAACATGAACTATAAATTTGCCACATGGGAAACCTCCAAAGCCTAAAAGAAGAGACACATCAGTAACCAACAAACAGATAAATAGACATGAAGTGCATGACAATGATTGTCTATGAGGGGTAGGGAGGAAATGGAGATAAAATGAGATGAGCACAAAACAAACCAACCAAATTGGCCTCATATGGACCAATGACGATAATACACCATGAAATGAAGAAGATGACCAATAGAATCCTTTTGATCTGAGGTAAACAAATACACAACACTTTAAAAAAAAATGAGAGGGGAGGGGTTTCTGGATATCTGTCTGGTGCATATTTTAAAGTAATTATATTTCCATAGAGCAGAAACAAAAATTAAATTAAAATTTAAGATGAAGCCACTTACAATAGCATCGAGGATACCAACTATCTAGAAATAATATAAGACCTTTGCACTAGACACTATAAAACATTTTTGAGAGACAAAAAGTTTAAGATAAAAATAAATAAAAGAATGTACCATGTTCATGGATCAGAAGAGTCAATATATTAATGACATTAATTTTCCTCAAGTTAACGTATACATTAAATACAATCCCAATCAAACTCCTAGCTGCTTTCCTCCCACAGAAATTGACAAGCTGACTTCACACACACACACACACACACACACACACACACAGACACCAAGACAATCTTGAGACGGTGACAAGCTAGAGAACTTATACTACCTGATATTAATACTTTTTATGAAGCTATAGTAAATAAAACAATTTGGTATTTGGAGTGAGGTTGACAAACTTCCCAGTGGAACATGATAGAGAGCCAGGACAGGCTTACACATTTACCACCTGATTTATGATAAAGGTGATATTGTAGTGTGGTGAAGAAAGGATGATCTTTTCAATAAACATGCTAGGTCAATGGAATATCCATGTGAGGAAACAGGAAACCTGATGCCAAGTCAAAAGTCAATTCCAGAGGGGTCATGGATCTATATGTGAAAGATAAAATAAAGCACGTTCAGAAGAACACACAGAAAATATCTTTGTGACATTTGAGATAGCAAAGACTTCTTAAACAATATAGTAACCATAAAAAAGCATTGGTCCTCAAAAAAGCATTAGCAATATGACTACATTAAAATTTAGGACTTTTATTTATCATAAGACACCATTAAGATATTAAAAAGGCAATCCTCAAAGTGAAAGAATATGTCACAATACATATTTCCAACAAAGGGGTTAGTTGCAGACTACATAAATATAAATGTAAATAGAAATATATATATCCCAACATACACATCTCCACAAACCAACAAAAAACAAAAAGACAACTCAATAGAAACATATGTGAAAGAAATGAACAGACACTTCACAAAGTCAGAGCAGAATTTCTGAAATGTGATGGGAAGAGCTTGGTGAAACTCTTCCCCAGAAAGACATCTATTAGACTGATCAAAATTAGCAAAGGCAATCATTCAAATGCTGGAGATGAATCAATGAATTTACAACAAATTGAGAACCATTTACTCAACAAAATTTATGGAAACTTGGTAAGAACAAGAGATAGGCATGGTGTTCAGGCTGTGAGCTGCACTCATTCCCCATCCACCTCCCTTTTGTGGGAGAGCTATTCCAGGAGGCTTAGCAGCCGAGTGGCAGTTCCCAATCCCCCAACTCCTTGGGGTGAAGATGTATTCTGGTGGATAAAGCAGTGGCTGAACACTGGAAGATCCCATTTTTTCACAGATTTGTGCTCCCAAAACCTGTACCATGTAGGTGGTGGAAGCCAGGCTCTGCCCCCATCCCACCACTCCCAGCGCCTAATCTGTAAGAAGGACCTGAGTCAGTCAGCGTTCATCCCCCAGTGAGCACTACTCTGTGCTATGGAAGATTAGTACTGGTGGGCCCAGCAGCTGAGTGGCAGCCCCCATATCCCCTAACTTACTGGGGAAGAGCTACTCGGAGCAAACATTGGGCAAGCCCATCACCCTGGCTGTGTGCTGAGGAAGATCTATACCAGGCCATGGTGTCAGGTGGGCAGTAGTGCCCATTCCCAACCTCTCCCAAACCCCACAGCTTCTGCTCTCTAGGGAGGATCCAGGTGGGGCATCTGTGAGGCACAAGCTCCTCATTCACAACCGCCCCCTTCCCAGCTCCTGCTTTATAGCAAAAATGTTCTACCTAGAGGAGAGTAGAACAAGCCTCAAAGACTGGTAATACCCTGTCCCTGTCAATAGGCCCAACTTTATCTGGAAAAGAGCGTGGAGAAGTTTATGCCAGAGGGCATTGCTGAAAACAATGAACCATCAGCTAGCATATCAGCCAAGATCAACAGGCAGTTGAGACACCAACAGAGGCAGAACATCCGGGAGTCTCATGGGAAGATCAGGGAAAGAGTCAAAGACAGCCCTGCTAAAATCAGTCATCTGTGGTGTTCCAAAAGGCTGGTGCATGCTCAAGATTGTGCTTTCTGAAGAGCACTGGAGAGGGAATTTCTGAACTACTACTAGACCCTGGCTGAGCAGGGAACAAACTTGTAAACTTCCTGTGTGTCTCCAAGGCACACACAGGTCCAAATGTAATGCGTGAAAAACTTACTGGTTCAGGGGCTTAGGGACAACTCTGACTAATCAGTGGCTGGCTGCTAATCTGTGTTAAGCAGGGATGATTCCTAGGAAGTCAGGTTCAAAAATTTAAAATTAAGAAAAAATTAGGCTGGGCGTGGTGGCTCATGCCTGTAATCCCAGCACTTTGGGAGGCCAAGGCAGGTGGATCACTTGAGGTCAGGAGTTTGAGGCCAGCCTGGCCAATATGGTGAAACCCCATCTCTACTAAAAACACAAAAATTAGCTGGGCATGGTGGCGCACACCTATAATCCCAGCTACTCGGGAGGCTGAGTCAGGAGAATCACTTGAACCCAGGTGGTGGAGGTTGCAATGAGCCGAGTTTGTGCCACTGCACTCTAGCCTGGGCAACAGAGTGAGACTCCATCTCAAAAAAAAAAAAAAAAGAAAGAAAGAAAAAAGAAAAGAAAAAAATATGAGCAAGAACATTAGAGGCTGTACAATTCAGGGGAAATACACTTCACTGAATTAGCCCAGCCACATAACTAAACATAAACAAACATAGCAATGAAGACAACACCACATTTCAGAGGGAGGGTATTATTGTACAGAGTTGCAACAATATAATATATAAAATATCAAGTTTTTAAGAAAAGTTTACAAGACATGAAAAAAAAAGAAAGTGTGACTCACAACATGACCCACAACTAGGTGTTTCATTTTTTTTTAAAGAAAGTAATAGAAACTATCAATGAGAGGGCCCAGATATTGGACTAAGTAGACAAAGACTTTAAAGCAGCATGATGAACATGTTCAAAGAATGAAAGACTATGTTTAAATAATTAAACGAAGGTATGATGACAGTAACTCATGAAATAGAGAATACCATGAAAAGATACAAAGTATATAAAAGAATCAATTGAAAAATTTAGGGCTGAAAAGTACAATAGAAATGAAAACTTTACTAAAATCTATTAACAGTAGATTTGGGCTAGTAGAAGAAATAATCCAAGAATTTAAAGTTAGAGCAGTCCAGACACAGTGGCTCATGCTGGTAATCCCAGCACTTTGGGAGGCTGAGGCAGGAAGACCACTTGAAGCCAGGAGTTCAAAACCAGTCTGTTTCACATAGTGAGACTCCATCTCTACAAAAAAAAAAAAAAAAAAAAAAAGTAAAAAATTTAGCCAGGCATGGTGGTGTATGCCTGTAGTCCTAGCTACTGAGGAGGCTGAGACAGGATGATTGCTTGAGCCTAGGAGGTCAAGGTTACAGTGAGCCATGATCATGTCACTGCACTCCAGCCTAAGCAACAGAATCAGACCCTGTCTCAAAAATAAATAAATAAATAAATAAAGTTTGAGCAATAGAGATTAAGCAGTCTAAAGAACAGAGAAAAAACATAAAATGAAAGACAAAGCCTTAGAGAAATATGGGACACTATTAAACTGACCTCATCTACATATCCAAGATGATCAACAAACCAGAAGACACGAAAACACAAAGAAATCCACACCCAGACACAGCATAGCCAAAATATTCCAAAGATAAAGAGAAAACCTTGAAAGCTGCAAGAGGAAAACTGCTCATCATATACAAGGGAACTCCAACAATATTAACAGCTGACTTCTCATTAAAAACAATGGAGACCAGAGACAGTGAGATGATGTATTCAAAGGACTGAAAGAAAAAAAAAAAAAAAAACACCTGTGAACCAATATTGCTATACCCAGCAAAACTCTCTTTCAGAAGTGAATGCAAAATAAAGACATTTTCAGATAAACAAAAACTAAATTTATTGCTAGAAGATCTGCCTTACAAGAAATACCAAAGAAAGTTCTTGAACCTGAAAGCAAGCAACACCAGACAGTAATTCTATACACACACAGAAACACTGGCAAAGGTAATTTTGTACATAATTACTAAAGACAGTGCACTTGTACATTTCGGTTTCTTATCTTTACTTATTTAAAAAGCAATTGCTTAAGACAATACATATGCAATCATACTATATTGTGGGCACTATAACATATAGAAATGCGACATATTTGACAATAAGAGAACAAAGGAGGTACTGGGAACAAAGCTGTTCTGTGAGAAGAAAATGACACCAAATGGTAACTCAAACCTAGAGGGAAAAATGAAAAGATTCAGAAATAATAAATAAGAAGATTAATATAACAAACTATATTAAAATCCTTTTTTACTTAAGTTTCTTTAACAAATGTAAGATTATATTGTATACATAATAATAATCACAAAAATGTGTTGTTATTAGTAAATGCATAACAAAAATGACATAAAAAAGGGAGGAGGAAATTGAGTTATATAGGAAAAAAGCCAATGTATCTTACTAGAATTAAGGTAGAACATATCTGATGTAGATTTAGATGTGTTGCAAAGCCTAGAGCAAGCTTTAAGAAAAGAATTTAAAAATATATAGATTTAAAAATCATTAGCAGAATTACAAAGTTATACTAGAAAATATATCAATTAATGCAAAAAGGTAATAAAAGAGATACAAAAACAGAGATACAAATAGGTTAGAAGTAAATGGATGAAAAAATACACATAATATACAAACAGCAATCATAACAGACCTAGCATACTTTACTAATATCAGAAAAAATAAACTTTAAAACAAAACAAGTTACTGAAGATAAAGAGGGATATTTCATAGTAACACAAGGGTCAATACAACCAGAAGTTATAATAACTATTAACATAAATGCACCTACCAACAGAGGCCCCCAAAATGTAGCAAAAGCTGAGGAAGTTGAAGGGAGAAATAGATAATTCAACAACTTCCAATAATGGATAGAACAACTGGGCAGGAGATCAACAAGGAAATAAAAGACTTTAACAATATTATAAGCCAATTAGTCCTAATAGATATCCATAAAGTACCCCACACATTCTTCCCAAGTTCAATAGCAGAATATACACTCTTCCCAAGGGCATATAGAATGTTCTCCAGAATAGGCCATATGTTAGGCCATAAAAGAAGACTCAATAAATTTAAATAATTGAAATCATACGAGTATGCTTTCCAAACACAATGAAACGAAATTGAAAATAGATAACAGAAGGAAATTTGGAAAATTCACAAATATGTGGAAATTAAAGAATATACTCCCAAGTAACCAGTAAATCAAAGAAGAAATTACAAATGAAATTAGAAAATACTTTTAGATTAATGAAAATGAAAACACAAAATTGTCAGGCCTCTGAGCCCAAGCTAAGCATCATATCCCCTGTGACCTGCATGTACACATCCAGATGGCCGGTTCCTGCCTTAACTGATGACATTCCACCACAAAAGAAATGAAAATTGCCTGTTCCTGCCTTAACTGATGACAATATCTTGTGAAATTCCTTCTCCTGGCTCATCCTGGCTCAAAAGCTCCCCTACTGAGCACCTTGTGACCCCCACTCCTGCCCGCCAGAGAACAACCCCCCTTTGACTGTAATTTTCCTTTACCTACCCAAATCTTATAAAACGGCCCCACCCCGATCTCCCTTCGCTGACTCTCTTTTTGGACTCAGCCCGCCTGCACCCAAGTGAAATAAACAGCCTTGTTGCTCACACAAAGCCTGTTTGGTGGTCTCTTCACATGGACGTGCATGAAAAAAATACCAAAACTTATGAGATGTGGCAAAGCAGTGATCAGAGCAAAATTTGTAGCCATAAATGCTTGTATTATAGAAAGAAGTGAGCTCTCAAATCAATAACATACTATTCCATTCTAAGAAACTAGAAAAGGAGAAACTAAACTTCAAGTAAGGAGAATAAAGGAACTAATAAAAGTTATAGCAGAAATAAATGAAACAAAAAATAGAAAAACAATAGACAAAATCAGTGATACCAATTTGTCAGCCTTTGAAAGGGTCTTTGAAAAGACCTACAAAACTGACAAATTTTAGCTAGACTGGTCAAAAAAAGAGAGAGAAAACTCAAATTACTAAAATGAGGAATGAAAGCAAGAACATTACAACAAACCATATAGAAAAGTATTATAAGTGAATACAATGAACAACTGTATGCCAAAAATGTAGACAACAAAGACACGTTGAGCAAATTTCTAGAAAGACATAAACTACTAAAAGAAGTAGAAGAAATAGGGCTGGGCGCAATGGCTCACACCTGTAATCCCAGCACTTTGGGAGGCCAAGGCAGGTGGATTACCTGAGGTCAAGAGTTCGAGACCAGCCTGGCCAACGTAGTGAAACCCTGTCTCTATTAAAAATACAAAAATTAGCCAGGTGTGGTGGCACGTTTCAAAAAAAAAAAACTCTGTTTCAAAAAAAAAAAAAAAAAAAAAAAAAAAAAACAGACGTAATAGAAGATTTAAATAGACCTGTAAGAAGTAAAGAGATTGAGTTGGTAATTTTAAAACTTTCCACCAAGAAAATCCCAGGTCCATATTGGCTTCACTGGTAATTTCTACCAAAAATTTAAAGATTCAGTACCAATCCTTTATGCAATCTTCCAGAAAGCAAAAAGGAGAGAACACTTTCCAACTCATTCTTGGAGGTCAATATTTCCCTGATATCAAAGCCAGACAGACACATCATGAGAAAACTACTGACTAATGTCTCTTATGATTATAAATTTTAAAAATCCTCAATAAAACACTAGCAAACTGAATTATGCCACATATAAAAAGAATTATACACCATGATCACATATGCAAGGTTGGTTTTACACCCAAAAATCAATGAGACGCCATACCACTACAGTAAAGAAGAAAACCACACGATCATCATAATAGATGCAGCAGAAGCATTTGACAAAACCAAACACCCTTTCATGATTAAAAAAAAACAACAACAACCTAAAAAAGAACTACAAAAAACATCTCAACAAATTAGGAATAGTTGTGTACAACCTCAACCTGTAGAAGGGCATCTATCGAAAACTCACAGCTAACATCATATGTAATGGGAAAAGACTGAATTATTTACTCTTAATATAAGAAATGAGACAAAGATGTTCACTCTTAGAATTTCTGGCCAATATTTTACTACTGTATGTCCTAGTGGGGCAATGAGGCAAGAAAAAATAATAAGAGACATTTGGATTGGAAAGAAGTAAAATTATTTTGTTTTACAGATGACATGATCTGACATGTAAAAAATCCTCAGGAGTTCACAGAACTTTTTTATTGCTAATAAATTATTTAGCAAGGATGATAAGATAGATTAATATACAAAAATCAACTGTGTTTGTAAAAACAATCTGAAAAGAAGAAAACAATTACATTTATAATAACATTAAAAAATAAAATACCAGGAATAAATTTAACAAAATAAATGCAAGACTTGTACAAAAAAGCTACAAAACATTAGTGAAAGAAATGAAAGAAAATCTAAATAAATGGAATGACATCCCATACTCATGGATTGAAAAACTCAAAATTGTTAACATGGCAATATCCCTCCCTCCCCTGCTGCAATTTTTGCAGAAATGACAAACTGGTCCTAAAGTTTATCTAGGGATGCAAAGGACTAAGAATAGACAAAACAATCTTGAAAAAGAACAAAGTTGAAGAGCCCCAATTTCAAAACTTAATATAAAGTTACAGTCATCATGACATGATGCTACTGGTATATAGACATAGAGATCAATGGGATATAATCAAGAAACCAGAAATAAACTCTTATGTTAGTAGTCAGTTGATTTTTGACATGGGTGTCAAAACAACTGTTGAAAAGAATAGCCTTTTCAGGCTGAGTTCAGTGGCTCACACCTGTAATCACAGCACCTTGGGAGGCTGAGGTGGGAGGATCACTTGAGCCCAGGAGTTTGAGACCAGCCTGGGCAACATAGCAAGTCTCCATCTCTACAAAAATTAAAATAAAAACTTAGCCAGGCATGGTGGCTCATACTTGTAGTCCCAGCTACTCAGCAAGCTAAGGTGGGAGAATCCTGTGAGCCAGGAATTTGAGGCTGCAGTGAGCTATAATCATGCCATTGCACTCCAGCCTGGGTGACAGAGTGAGACCCTAAAAAAAAAAAGGTTGTTTTTCAACAAATGGTGCTGGTGCTGGGACAGTCAGATGCACATGAGCTATCCATGTGCAAATAATGAAGTTGGATCCCCACTTCGTACCATACACAAAAATTAACTCAAAATGATCCTAATCCTAAATGTATAAACTAAGATGATGAAGTTCTGAGAAGAAAATAGGAGATTACTGGTTGCCTAGAACTGAGGAGTGACTGCTCTAGGTATAGAATTTCTCTTGAGGATGATTAAAATTAGATCCTAGTGATGGTTGCACAAATCTGTGAATATTCTAAAAATCAGAATTGTGTGCTTTAAATGTGTGAATTTCATGTTATTGTGAATTATACCTCAATAATGCTATTTTTAAAAAAGTAAAAAAGGGATAGCCAAGTGTCCAATAAACATACGAAAAACTGCACAGCTACATTTATCATTGGATAAACGCAAGTTAAAACCCCATTGCAATTTTACTACACCTCCACCAGAGTGGCTACAATGAAAAAGACACAATACCAAGTTTTGGCAAAAATACTGACCTGTGAGAATTGTCTTCCTTTGATATTCAGAATTATTAAAGAGCAGTGATTACAATTTCAGTGGTTTTGGTAATGGCAGAATGAACACTGGGACTGTGCGCCTGATGCATGAACAATGAACGGCTGCGGGATAGAGGCGCTGATAGCAAAGCCCGGGAAGAAAGAAGCCAGGCCAACAGCTGACAGCGCCCGGGATGGCCACGCTTTCAAATGGAGTTCTCTCTTGAAAGAAAATGGAATCCCACCCACCGAAGGGTCCAGGCTGGAGTGTGTTACAGCAGAACCGGCCAGGCCGGCGCTGCAGGAAACGCAGCGATGCCCCAAATCCTTGCTTCCGAAAGCAGCACCTGGGAGCCGAAGGCACAGCGCTGCCCAGGCACAGAGCCCAGCGGCCTTGCCCTGCGTCCGCATTCGCACAGGGCCTCTGCGTGCTTCCGGGAACATCGCAGTTTGAGAAGCTCTGTTTTAAAGAATGCTGCTCCTTTTACGGTCACTGTGGTTCCCACTGGGAATTCCTCCTGTCCTACCTACAATGCCGCAACCCTCCCAGGCTCACCGGCAGCCCCCACGCCAGCCTCTGAGGCCCTCCCCACGCAATTCCTACTTTGGAGCTCCTGGGGCCTGTCACGTCAACACTCCTCCAGCCTTCCAGGCCAACAGCCTCCAAGCTGGGCACGCCCGGGGCCTTCCGTTTGTCCCACTGCAAAGCCTTCCCTCTCCTCTGCCGTGAGTCTCCGCTGGAACACACGCGAGGGCGGCCGGCAACCTGGCAAACTCTGATCCAGGCGCCTTTGCTTTCTCGTTGTGTTGGTCTTCATTCATTTCCGCAATCCACATTACGTGTTTCCTCCCCTCCCACCACCTCTGACTGTGCTCTCCCTGTTTCTTTCTCCAGCCGAGGCTGAGGACGGAGCCCGGGGCCTCTGTGCCTCTGCGTGCCCCGCCTGTGGCAGGAGGGAGAGGGCGTCCCAGGGCCGTCACGGCCACCTGGGGCCTGTGTCCGGACCGCCGCCACCAGCTCGTGCCTCAGATGGCTTTCAGCTGTGCCGGGGCCCCTTCTCTTTCATACTTAGGAAGGGCCGGGAGGTGCCCAGTGTCCTCTAGGGACTCAGTCAACGCCCCAGCATAAACAGAAACCAAGAAAAACGTACGCACGTCTCAACTAGGTGGCCCCGAAAGACTTTCCTGGCTGGTCTAGTGCCTGTTTACACTTTTGATGGCTGTCGTTTTGTATTTACTAATTGCATCACATGGCTCTAGTCATCATATGTAACTTTTAAACTTTGCAGAACATTTCCCGCTCCAAGGAACTCAACTTGTTTCCTGTTTGTCCTCAAAACTGCCCAGTGACGTTCATAGTGAAGGAAGCAGGGATGGGGAGATCTAAAACCTCATCTCACAGAGGCCAGAGGTTAACTGCGCATGTCCCAAATACTCCAACAGCCCAAAACGCACAGATCTTTACAGAAATTATTTAGAAATCGATTGAAACGGGTTACTTTAAGATTTTCAATTTTATTTCTAAAGAGTGGTAGGTGAAATTCTAGTTGATGGGTTGGCAAGAAGTGATGTACCTGCATTGAATTTTCCAGTGTGTTGGAGACAGAATGAAAACTAGGCCCGTCAGAGGGGCATAGAGCACGGTGGGCTTCCCCACCCGCCCCTGGTCCCACAGACTTCCGCCTGGAAGACAGGTGGGGAAGCCGTGGTGGCCTCGCTCAGCCTCAGGAGCCTGGCGGGCTGAGTGTGTGAGCATTAACCCTGCTTAGTCCTCAAACCAGCTGCCTCCTCCTGCCGCTGTGGACCTGGTTGTGATCCTGTGATAAACAGGCTCCAGGCGGCCTCTCCAGTTCCAGGGCCTGCACTCGGCTCCTGCGTGCACCTGGAAAAGGGCTTCCAGCCTCCGCTCCCATCTCCAGAGATGCACCAGGATGCCCTTGCTTCGTGCACACAGCAGGTGTGGAGAGGGAGGAGCGCGCACCGATCGCAGGGCCCCTATGGACTGAGAGGCTGGAGGGGTCCCTCAGTGGGGGCTGTCACCATGGGCTTCTCACGCTGGAGTCCTCCCAGGCCAGGCCAGCCTCCTTGTCCACACCGCTCAGAGCAACTGGACACCGGGCAGGGCCTCAGCCGTGCCGTGCCCCACGCAGAGGACACTGGCTCTGGGGTATATCAGGCACAGGCCAAGCTGTCCAGGGGTGCTGAGTTCAAACGGTCCCATGGGGTGGAGGCCCTGTGTGGCCTCCATTAGAACAGTCCCAGGAACCCCACCCAGTGAGCAAATGTCTAAGCCACAAATCTCCCTGAGCTCCTGGGGGAAGCCGGGCTCTACCAGCCTCCAAATGGCAAGCTCGTATATCAGAGGTGAGCAGTAATGTGCAAAAGTCTGCTCCAGCAGACACCCTGAACCTGCAGGCAAGCACGGGGAAAGGGGGTGCCAGGGAACCTGGAGAGCTCTCCATAAAGGTGACCCTGGGCCACGAAGGCATATTTTAAAATTATATGCAAAAAAAAAAAAAAAAAAGGAAAGAAAGAAGAGGTTGCTGCTGTGGAAGCTGTGGCTAGCCTCCTCCTTTGGTCCTGGGGACCTGGGTGTGAGCTGGGTGTGGACTGGGTGTGAGCTGGGTGTGGGCTGAGGGTGGGCTGGGTGTGGGTTGGGTGTGGGATGGGGGTGAACTGGGGGTGGGCTGAAGGTGGGCAGGGCGTGCGCTGGGGGTGGGCTGGGCGTGCGCTGGGGGTGCATGCAGGGTCCAGGATGCAGCCTGCGGCTTTGCCACCCTATACACTGTGGGTTGGCCGGGGCTGTATATTCCTTGCACCTGATAGGTAAAGATTTGAACATAAGGTAGCATTTCCTTTATCATCTCCCATAAAAATAACAATTTGCTGGAGCCTTGCAGCCCGGCATGGAAGTGGCGCGTCTTCCTGATAATGCGGGATGACAGATAGGCCGTGCGGACTTTCGCACCCCACAATGTGCAGCATCCTCAGTTGTGAGCAGAGAAGGGAGGACAGGGCCGCGCTCCACCTCCAGTAGCCAAATAACTCAGCCCCGGCTCCGCAGTTACGCTGTGTGAAAACACGGGATTAATTAGACAGTGCTCGAGTGCCGCGTCATTAGAAGCTGCGCGCCCCTGCACCCGGGTGTGTCCTGTGCACACCTGGCCCCGACCATCCGACCTAAGGTCGTCCCCATCCTTCTACCGGTGCAGGCCTTTGTCATGTGTCTGCTCTTCTCACCTGCTCAACCAAAGGCAACACCAACGCAGGACGATCTGTGCACAGAAGTCCTCAGTTTGTGGCCCCAAAGGCAGGGAGGGAGGTGGCGGGAGCGCCACTCCCCGACCAAGAGCGCGGTGTGGGGAAAGGGACACCGTGGCCATGTGGGCCGTGGGCCTGAGACTTCAGTGAGAGAAGTAACCACACTGCTGAGAGAACCTTCCAGAACAGCGAGTACAAAGGCCACGGGCGCCAGCTCGGAGGCTCTGGTATGGTCCCTTGCCCAAGGCTTCATGGCCACACACACTCACTTGAGGCAGCGCGTTTGCTGCTTTGGCAAGGTGGGGTCTGAGGCCCAGCCAGGGGACACGCCCAGGCCCTCAGCTTCCTCCTAAAAACCCACTGTCAGCCTAAGGCGGTGAGGACCCCCACTGCCCAGAGGCGGAGTCTTTCAGCCAGGACATGGCCCTTACCGTAGTCGAAGGGAGAGCCCAGCTCTGCAGGCCTTGGACAGCATGCACTCTGCTCCAGGAAGAAGCTGGGGATAGAACTTTCTGGAAAGACCCAGGCGGTGGGTAATGTCTCAGGAGTTGAGGCAGAACCCAGGGTCAGGAAGCCCACCAGATGGCGGCTTCCTGCTGCCACACACATGCACGCTCTCACACAGTCACACACATGTGCATGCAGATGCTTACATGCATAGTCACATGTACACATGCATACATATTCACACAACACACCTTCACACGAATATGCTCACACATGTGCACACACATGCACCACATGCATGCAGACTCACATGTACATATGCATCATGCCCACACACATGCATATTCACACACATGCCCTCACATGTGAAGTCACACACATGCATGCACACATTCACATGTACACAGATGCACACATGTACATGTGCATTCACATGCACACATTTGCACACATGTTCATGTGTGCATGCCTACACATACACACACAGTCACACGTGTGTGCACACGTTCACATGTACACACATGCACACACAGTCACACGTGTGTGCACACGTTCACATGTACACACATGCACACACATGTACCTATGTGCACATTCGCGTGCACATCTATGCACACATGTTCACATGCGCTACACATGGGCATGCACATTCACACAGGCATGCACAGCACATGTGTAAATATGAACACACTCATGCTCACATATGTACATTCACATGCACATGCTCACACATGGATTCAGACATGTACATGTTCATGTGTTCATGAATGCTCACGTGTGTAAGCACACAGTACACTCATGCATGCACACTGACACATATGCACACTCGTGTGCACTCACACATGCATTCATTCACATATACAGCCACACACATCACATTCACACATGCTCACTCTCATATGTACACTTACACATGAGTGCACACTCACATGTGTGCACTCATGCTCATGTGTGCCCTCAGACTCACGTGTGCACACACACTTTCACAAGTGTACACACACAAGTGCACACACACATGCACGCTCTCACATGCACTTCTTCACAGGCTGAAGAGGTTGGAGTTGTCCTGATAGCCTCTCCCTCCTCTTACACCTATGTTGGGGCATCAGCATTCCTTCCGTCCTTCCACTTAGTAGGACTGCCATGTGCAATTTCAAGTCCACCTGCTGCTGAAATCTGCTGGGAGCAGGTTTCATTCAGGGGAGGAGGTTGTGACCCTAAGACCACCCCCTGATCTAATATTCCATGGGAGATGCAGAGCCAGAATCTAAATCCACATCCTGGGGAGCTAGGAGCCAACAAGGCGGCCGCTGGCGATGGAGGAGAGTTCAGGCTCCACGTGAAGTCCATTCACATCCAGTCTTGATGTTCTCTTGGTTGGGAGACCCATTCACCCCCAGTGCCAAAAACAAAACAACAAAAACAACAATAAAGATTTTAGAAACCAAAAAGTTTTCGAAAACTTGCTAAGCTGGAAGCTGAACCCCGTTTTACTCCATGCGGGTAGTGGCTGCCATCATGAGACACTCAGTGGTTCTGGAAAGTGTCTGGACAGCCTAGCACACCGGGCTTGCTGCTGTGATTCCTGACACACTGAGAAAACAGCAGACTATATGTGGGGTCTCCCACACTCAGAGCTGGGATCTTAGTTGTGTTTGCACATATCCTAGAAGGCACCCCTGCCTCCGGCCCCAACCTCCATGGCCAGGCAGTGAGCGTGCAAATCTTAACCTTCCAAATAACAGACTCAAGAATGCTTTTCATCCAGCCTCATCAGGAGCTGCTGAGAATGGTCCCTGAGAAGTGAAACTTAGATGGGGGTGGGTAGGCAGAGTGGAGGGCCTGCGAAGGAGAAAGGGACCAGAGAGAGAAAAAATCCAGTGATGAGAAAATAAAGTAATTTAAGCTGAATTACACTTAAAATGACCTTTGCAATAGGTAATAGGCAATCCAAGACAGGAAGAAAGAGCTGAAATTCAACAGACTGAAGTCTGCCTTATGGCTTGAAAAATGGGAAATCCGAGGGCAGGAAAAGAGAGCAGGGAAAGCACAAGAAGTAAAATGAAGGCTGGCGAGGGAGAAGTCATTTTGTGGAAGGTTAGGATCATTAGCAAACGGAGAAATGATTAGCAGGAAAGTTCTCAAAATTAAAGAGACTTTTTAAAGAAGAAGAAAGAAGCTTTGTGGAACTTGACAATCATAAAAATGACATGGTGCAGACAGTGTCTAAAACGTCTGAAATGAACACCTGTACAGGCATCGTGTGATCATCGGGCCTCACAGGAGAGAAGCCCAGGTTTTTGGCAAACTGGATCTTGTTCTGGGTGAGTAGCATTGATCTACTTTGGATAAAACGCTCAAGGAAATGCGAATCTCTTCAGCAAAGACTGCTTTTCTGGAAAAGAATTTATTTCCGTCTTCTTTCTGCTCGTTTTGTGAGGGACCACTACTACTTTCTCCCCGCAAAGTCCTTTTTGGCAACATCTCATTTTTGCCAGGATTTAATTTCTTTTTTGTTTTGTTTTGTTTTGTTTTTTGAGATAGAGTCTCACTCTGTCACCCAGGCTGGAGTGCGGTGGCGCAATCTCGGCTCACTGCAACCTCCACCTCCCAGGTTCAAGCGATTCTCCTGCCTCAGACTCCCAAATAGCTGGGACTCCAGGCATGCACCGCCATGCCCAGCTAATTTTTGTATTTTTGGTAGAGACGGGGTTTCACCATGACGGCCAGGATGGTCTGGATCTCATGACCTCGTGATCCGCCCACCTCGGCCTCCCAAAGTGCTGGGATTATAGGCGTGAGCCACCGCACCCGGCCTAATTCCTTACTTAGTGGGGTCATGAGTAATTTTATTTTAAAAATTTTGGTAAATTTAGAGAAAAGCTAAAAAACACAACTCTGAACTCCAATTCATAAATGGAAAAGTGCATGTTTGTTCTGTGGGATTCATGTGAAGGAATTCATTTATCATGTGGTTAAAACCATAAGATGCTAGAACGGCACAACGCTCACCCTGACAGCAGGGAGGGAGAGCTTCCTAACACGGCTCTGAGTTAAAACGGTGACACCTTCCTGATCTGGGCTCACCAGGTTTCCAATGAAACGAAATGGGCTGAAGTTTCGAGCTCACTGATTTTCCATGTCAGACACTGTGGTTGATATGGAGCCGCACAACTGCTCTGGCAGAGCCTCTTGGATCCACTCCTGGGTTTGCTAGCTCCTTCCAGTCAGGCTGTAGGGATGCTCAGCCTTGAGGCCAGTGTGGTGCGGCAGCAAGGAGCCTGCTCTCCAGGAGCTCAGGGTCGGGTGGTGGAGACACAGTCGACAAATGACAAAGTTGCTTCCTGACACTGATAAATGAGGAGCACTATTTTAAATTTGATGTCAGGAAAGTCCTCTCAGAAAGAGGGAGGTCGGGGCTGAGACTTGAATGATGAGAAGGGATTGGCCTTGACTAAAGAAACTTCTAGAACAGCAAGTACAAAGGCCTCAAGTAACCAGGGAGTAGCAACACTCTGCAGGTTTGGTGTGTTTGGGACTGAGACATAACAATTAAAGCCAGGAGGCAGGTGTGGACCTTGAGATGGTGAGTGGTTTAAAATATGCTCATCATTTGTTTGACATTCCCTTCAGAAGGTGGAGGCAGCCACCCCTTGAGTGGACTTAGTGAATCATTTCTAGCAAATGGAATAGGCTGAAGTGACAATGTATGACTTCTGAGGCCAGGTCTTAAAAGACACTGTAGCTTCAGCCTGTGTCTTGGATCACTTTCTCAAGGAAAAGAGGCTGCCATGTTATGAGGATGCCAAGCAGCCTGTGGGAAGCCACGCGGTGAAGTCACGTGAGTACATCACCCTGCCCGTGCCTCCTCCGCCTCAGTTGAGCCTTCAAATGACAGCAGCCCCTGATGACACCTTAACCCTGAACTGGACCCACCCAGTTTAAGCTGCTCCAGAATTCCTGACCCACAGCAATTGTAAGGGATAAATACTTGTTATATTTACATCACTACATCTTGGGATAGTTTGTTACACAGCCATAGATAACTCATGCAGATGGGAGGGACATGATCTGACTCACTTTGGTGAAAGATCATTCTGGATTGTAGGAAGGAACAGTAGAAGCTGTTGCAGTGGTTCCGGTGAGAGATGATGGTGGCTTGCACAGGCAGATGGCTGCAGATACCTGGAGAAGTCACCATCTGGAATTCAAAGCATGAGTCAGGAGGAGGGTGAAAGAAAGACAGGTCAAGGATGGCTTCTAGTCTTTGTCTTAAGACAACTGAGAGAACTTGGTGCCATTTACTGAGATGGGGAAGCTTCTGGAAAGACTAGCTGTGTGTGGATCAAGAAGTGAAGCCAATGGAATGTAGCCAGGACAATGAGAGGTGAGACCAGCCGGAGGTCCAGGGATCCAGGCAACAGGTGCTGATAGCTCCCATGAAACAGCTCTCCTTTTCTCTTCAGCTGGGTTAGATTGATTCACAGAAACGATGGGCAGGACTTTGGCCGTCATCTCACCCAAGTGGCTACTTGGTGGAAGGGCTCAAGCCCCCTCTGCCTATAGACTCCTCCCTGGCTCCCCTCCAGATAAGAGAACATCCTTGCCTTGCGCTGTTGGGTTCCTGTTCCTCTCTGACAGAACTCGCCTGTAACACTTAGCCTGGAGGAAATCCACACAATTCATGTCTAGACAATTTGTGTCTAAATCCGTGGATGTAGATCCAAGATTCAAGGTTCCACCTGCCATGAAGGCAACCTCTTCTGCTCTCCCAGCACCCGCTTAAGTCTTCTTTTGGGGAGGGAAGTGGATTCTTGTGTGTGTCTGACCTGAGTGGAGTGTGTGTGTTTGTGGGGAGTTGCACCCTTTTCAGCTTTCTGCACTCAGCCCACATGGGGCGACACAGTGAGCATGTGACCTTCCTTCACTTACGGACCCCACAGGGCCAGACAGTACTCATTCTCCTTTAAGGACCAGTTAAGGCCAGAGCCAGAAGGCATCCTCAGCATGCTGCAGCACAGCCACAGTCACTGATGGATAAAGACGCCCAGGCCTGGGGGCTACGATGATTTCCCCGAGGTGACCCAGATGGAGTGATAGTTGACTGCTCCTGTGTGGTTGCTGACTGAACGCAAATGTTGGCATTTCCATGTATCACTCTGCTCCACATGATCTTACTTATTTGGACTCCGGGCAGAGCTGTGTCTCTCAATCCCCTTTGAATTTCTACTGTACTTTGTCTAGTGCCAGTCTCATGGCAAAGGTTGAAACATAGGACAGCTAGCTGCCTTGGTTTTTCTTCAGGTTGGTCACAGCGAGGACTTTCTGGTAGATATTTTTTTAAAAATTCAGCTTTTAGGTCTCATTTTAGACCTGTGGAATCAGTCTCAGGGGTGGGGACGGGGAGTCTAGCCTCTGGATGCGCTGATCTAATTTCGAGTTGTCCTTTGCTGCGGCTTCCGTGAGGCCATGCCACTACTTTTCACCATTTGTACACTCAGAAACAGGTGGGTGCTGGGCCTGTGCCTCTTCCCAAGCCCTGCTCCAAGCTCCAAAACATGTAGTTGCTTCCTCTCTTAGGATGCCGTATCTCGGTGGCAGCAAGGTTCATGCTGTCTCTCAATTCTTCTTAGCCTCAGGACTTTGGGACAGAAATCTAGACAATGCACCTCCAGTGTCACTTACTGCTCTTATTGTAGGAGGGAAATCAGGAGCCAAAATACAAGATTAGACTTTTGGGAGTTAAAGGGTAAAAATAATGCCCATTTTAAAAATAATGCCCCTTCTTTTTTTTTCTTCCAAGTTCAGAACCAATTGAAAAGTAAGATGCAAAGATGTGTGGGCATTATTGTGAATAAGCTGATGGAAGGACTTGGCTTCAGATCCAAGGCTAACAAGGCTTACTAATATGAACTGCGGCCTCCTCTCCTGCCATGCATGCAGGCCCTGGGTAGCCCACCCAGGGGAAGGTTTGGCTCCACAGAGCAGGCTGCTATTTGGGATAGAAGAGCAAATTGCCAGTTCTTACAGACTTTCAATCGATTAATTCCAGTAGAAGTCCCTTCATATGAACCGTGAAGCCAGGAAAAAAGAAGACCCCCCACCTCTGTCGGGGCATCAGCATTCCTTCCGTCCTCCCACTAGTAGGACCACCATGTGCAATTTCAAGTCCACCTGCTGCTGAAATCCGCTGGGAGCAGATTTCATTCAGGGGAGGAGGTTGTGACCACTCCCTGATCTAATATTCCATGGGAGATGCAGAGCCAGAATCTAAATCCACATCCTGGGGAGCCCAAGAAGCTAACAAGGTGGCCACTGGCAACAGAGGAGAGTTCAGACCCCATGTGAAGTCCATTCACATCCAGTCTTGATGTTCTCTTGGTTGGGAGACCCATTCACCCCCAGTGCCAAAAACAAAACAACAAAAACAACAATAAAGATTTTAGAAGCCAAAAAGTTTTTGAAAACTTGCTAAGCTGGAAGCTGAACCCCGTTTTACTCCATGCATGTAGCTGCTTCCATCATGAGACAGATGGAATTTTCCATTCCAACAGCATTGCACTCCTGGAAATAATTCATCCCCACCTTGGCTATACCATATATATACTGCCATTCTTGTCCCTTTTTACATTTCCAAATTGAGTTGTGCAAACAGACTCAAGATGGCAGAGTTTGTCAGTGAAACCATCAGAGACACAAAGCGTCTGCTGGTGGCTCCTGACTGTTTCTGAATGTTTAAGTATATATTATAAAAGTTATTTGGTATGCAATAGTATGTAATTTTGTCTCTTGCTCAGATAACTAAACATGGCCAGGATGATTATTATACAGCTAATTGGTAGGAATTATCATCAGTCCATTTGAAGCAACTGACTCAATTACTTTCCAATAGCCAAAAAGGAGGAGGGGGGCATTTCCAACACGCACATCAGAACCTGGGGAAATCAAGTGCTTTCCTCCCACAGACTGTGGACTGGAAGCCTCTCTTTGTTTGGACATCTTGCTCCATGGCCAGTGATTTGGCAATTTCCTAATGCTGTCAGGCATCTCTGGGCTCATTCCCATAGGCAGAGGGACAGACAAGCATGGCACAGAGCCAGACTGCCAGCCAAGCATGTCAAGGCAAATGGGAATCCACTGAATTCCCTTGGTTTCTTGGATGGAAGGAATTGTCACTTTTTTTTTTTTTTAACATAGAATGATTCAGCCAGGTGAGGTGGCTCACACCTGTAATCCCAGCACTTTGGGAGGCCAAGGTGGGTGGATCACGAGGTCAGGAGATCGAGACCATCCTGGCTAACACGGTGAAACCCCGTCTCTACTAAAAATACAAAAAATTAGCCAGGCGTGGTGGCGGGTGCCTGTAGTCCCAGCTACTCAGGAGGCGGAGGCAGGAGAATGGTGTGAACCCGGGAGGCGGAGCTTGCAGTGAACTGAGATTGCGCCACTGCACTCTAGCCTGGGCGACAGAGTGAAAATCTGTCTCAAAAAAAAAAAAAAAAAAAAAATTAGCTGGGCATGGTGGCGAACACCTGTAGTCCCAGCTACTTGGGAGGCTGAGGCAGGAGAATCGCTTGAACCCGGGAGGCAGAGGTTGCAGTGAGCCAAGATTGCACCACTGCACTCCAGCCTGGATGACAGAGTAAGACTCTGTCTCAAACACACACACACACACACAACAACAACAACAACAACAACAACATAGACCGATTCACTTCCTACAGGGAGGAGCGAATGCCCACTGCCAGCACTCATCTCTGTGGTCCCCACTCCGCACTGCAGTGAGGCTTTTGTTCCATTTGGGCTCTATCTCCATGGTCTCCTATGCCAGAAGTCTGGGCTGTTGCCCCAGAATTCTGGCATGATGGGTCAGGGAACAACTGTCCCAAGGCTTTTGCTGACCAAGTGCAGATTTTGGCTGCTGTTCTTGAAGTTTTTCTTGAAGAATGGCAGTGGCCTGGCTCTCTCCCACTCTCTCCTCCCCAAACACCAAGTTCAAAACAGCCTGCCAATATGTTGTTGCTGTTTCCTAATTCCGTTTCTCCCCATGGGTTCTCTAGAGCTGGTCCTGGGAGACAGGGCAAGTTTGCCATCTAGGTAAGATATGGCGGTTGCAATCTGTTGATACTGTAAGTGATATGTCAGTTTGTGACATTGTCTGTGAACTTCCCATTAGGACAGGCAAGGATTTAGTCTCATCTTAACACTTCTTACTTACAGTTTTAACTGAACTCATATTCAATGTGAATATTGTGCCTATGTAAATATTGTTCGTTGTTGAACTAAGTATTTTCCTGTAGTAAAACATGATTTTCTTTCTTATACACTTGTTTAGGGTTTTGTTTTTTTTTTTGGTATTAATAACTACCTCATTGTTTTTATCAGCTTGCTTTCTTTCCTTTTTTTTTTTTTTTTTTTTTTTGAGAGGGAGTCTCATCTCGGCTCACTTCAACCTTCACCTCCTGGGTTCAAGCAATTCTTCTGCCTCAGCATCCTGAGTAGCTGGGATTACAGGTGCACGCCGCCACGCCTGGCTAATTTTTCATATTTTAGTAGAGACGGGGTTTCACCGCATTGCCCAGGCTGGTCGCAAACTCCTGAGCTCAGGCAATCTGCCTGCCTCAGCCTCCCAAAGTGCTGGGATTACAAGGAGTGAGCCACTGCACCTGGCCTGCTTGGTGTTTTTATATGCTGTCACTCATTCCTTCGCAACTATCCAAACCTCATAACATGTTTTCTATACAGCTGAATATACCAAGGCATTGATCAGTTCTATGCCTTTTTCCTCAGAGCCTTTCCTTTACTTGCTCAAATAATCATTACTCAGGACATTCCCTTTTTTCTCTCCTATGTTGACCTGTTTCTGAATCCCAAGACTAATCTACCCTCTTTGAGAGCATATTTTTCAGTAGCTTCATGCAAAAGGGTGTAAGGGAGGCAAATGTTTGGAGAGAGTGCATATCTGACAATATCTTTATTGTACCATTATACTTGATTGATAGTTTAGCTGGTAATAGAATTATTATTTGACAAAAATTTCTGTTAGGATTTTGAAGAGATTCCTTTTTTAACTTCTAGTACCCATTAATGCTTTTAGAAGTCTGATGTCGTTTTAACTTTCATAGTGTGACTTTTATTTTGCTTTTTTTTCCTGACAAGGATATTAGTATTGCATATTCTTGGGTTCAGAAACTTCATGACAACCAATATGAGTCTTATTCACTCATTTTGCTGGGTACTTAGTGAGTTCCTTCAAGCTGGAAACTCTAATCCCTCAGTCTCATCAATTTTCTTGTATTCACTGTTTGATAATTTCCTTCTTTCCATTTTCCTCATTTTCTCTTTCTAGACCTTCTTTTAGTCAGTTTCAGATATCCTATATTGATACTTTAATTTTCTGATTTAAAAAAATCTATATTCAATTTATTTGTCTTTTGGTCCTACTTCGTGAAAACTTTCCTTGACTTTATCTTCCAGCCCATAGTTATCTACTGCATTTTTAATTCCCTGGACTTCTTTCTTCTTTTATTTTTTAAATCAATATAAAAATCAAGTATTATTTCATGGAAGCATACATTCTCTTATTATTTGAGTGCATTTTGGGGGAATTTTCTTAAAATTTACTTCTGCTGAGTTCCTTTTCTCTCTCTTATTATTTAACTTTGGGGTCTCACTGTGTTGCCCAGGCTGTTCTAGAACTCTTGGCCTGAAGTGATCATCAACCTCCACAAGTGCTGGGATCACAGGCTCTTATTTATTTTTGATCTTTTTAATTCACATGGGTCCTTAGCTTCATGTGCATAGCTGAGGGAGGCATTGAGGCTGATTGAAGCTCTTTGTGGGTACATGGGACTTCCTGGCGACTGGCCCTCTCTCCAGAGCCATCTGACAGCAGTCAGCTTTTCCACTGGAAAAACCCTTGAGTGTCTTATGTGGAGGGCTTCTCTCTGGAGTGGTTCAATTTCTCCAGAAAAAGAATCTTCTAGTCTCCTCCCTGGGGGTACATATTTGGCTTCCATGGTACTAGAAGCCTAGCCAGGGAGGCTGAGGAGGCAAGTCTCGGTGATCAGGGGGTTGAGCTTTTCTCAGTCCCATCTCGTGCTTGGCATCTCCTTCACTCTGCCGTGTCCCCAGCTCCAGAGCCTTGCTGGTTGGATTTCTCCAGATGAAAAAATTGTCCTGCTATTTCTTGGTTGGGGAGTGGGTCTGGGGGTTTGGCTGCAAAGGTCCCATAGAGGAACAGGCCTGCTTTCACTCCATGGCTCACCCGCATCCCACAGTGCCTGCAGCCAGGCCTGAGCTGGGCCCTGGAGCCTGGCTGCTGGCTAGCACTGCCAGGATGCCCCTGCCAGGAGGGGCTGTGGCCTGGGCTTTGCACCCTTTAGTGTCAGTTCCCCAGCCATGTGTGCCTTTCCCAAATCTCATCTCATCTCTGCTCCTGCCTCTTCGTTTGTTCTCTTGCTCTGTCAGTTCTCTGACTCTTCAGTGGGCTTGGGGTACGGAACAGAGGCAATATGTGTCCCATGGGGCAGGTGTTCATGGGAATAGAGTGGACTTTGAGGCTGCACTGAGAACGGGGATGGGAGGAACAGGAGCTGGGGCTAAGGATATCTTGTGACCTCACAGGATCCTCACACAGTGTGATACCTCCCCAGAAGGCCACAGCTGTGCTCCTGGGGGTGATGCAGAGGAAGCTCTCCCTCCAGACCAGGAAGATACGAACTACTTAGAACTGAATGAAACTGAGCTCGGCTGGGCCTCAGCACCATCTCACGTCAAGGAGTGGCAAGAGCAGACAGCGAGGCTCTGCATATGGGGGTGCTCTGGGTGGGGGTCACCAGAAAGGGATGCAGACAATCCACTGGTACAGAAAAAAATGCTAGAACTTCTATTTGTATGAACTTTATTAAAAAAAATCAGAAGCGATTCCAGGGACAGATGACAGGCGCCTCTCTGGGTCCCGTTGACCCTGGGGTCCCAGACCCAAGGCAGACAACTCGTAGCATTCAAGTCCTGCTCGGCAGTGTGGACTTGCACCCTGTGGGGCTCTCCCTGAGCTAATCCTTGCAAAATGTCCTCAAAACGGCAGCTGAAGAGTGACCTGAGGATGCCAGAGAGTGGCTCAGCCCTCTTCCTCCTCCTCCTCCCTCTGCTCAAGTCCACCACTGCCCTGCGGCTGGCAAGGCTGATATTCCAACCCCTCAAGAGGCTCAAATACGTTAATACGCATTTCCATCCACTTGTTGCAAAGATAGATTTTGTTCCAATGTAGAACAACAGCACAGAGCCTTTTGGGTGAGCATGCACACACGGCTTTTTTCCTCTTATTCTTTGAACAGCTCTGCTGTTGTGTGAGCGGCAGCCACCTGGACATTGTGGGGACCAGGAACCATGGCCCAGCCGGCATGGAGACCTCCAAAGATGCTCAGGCCCTGGGCACGTTGTTCCACATTCAGGGGTGCAGGCGGCTGAGCCCAAAACCAAACCACAGCCTCTGCAAAGATGCGAGGAGCAAAACCCAGGCCTTAGTGCCTGGGGTCCAGTGGACGCTGTCCTCAGAGCAGCATGTCCAGGAGCAGAGGGGACCACGGGGAGAGGAAGCCAAGCCCTGGCTGCAGGGAGCCGCTGGGGGACGCAACCTGAGGGTTCAGGGAGGGGCTGCGGGTCTCCAGCCTGTCCCCCGAGGGAACCCCTCCAAGGAAGGGAAGCACCTGCCAGGTACTGCCCTCCCACCCTCCATCCTCCCCACGAAGGGCATTTCTTGCTTCGGCATCCACGAGGGCAGGCACTGGCCCAGCCCTGCCCTCTGCAGGGAGGAGCTCCCAGGACTGTGACATCAGGTGGTGTTGAGAGAACAATGGACAGAAAACACGTAGATGGTGGCTTCTGGGATCCACAGGTGGAAAAATAAATGAAGCAGCATCAGGAGAAAGCTGAGAGGAGCCATCAGCTTCCATGCCCTGCTGTCCCCACTGTCCCCAGGAGTGCAGCCTGGGTGTAGACATCTGGACTCCCAGATCCGAGGCTGGAGTAGACAGTGTCTCATGCTGGGTGACAGCATGTGGTGATAGTGGGCAGCTGGGCCTCGGAGACCCTAGACTCTTGACAGGAAAACAGCAGCTGAGCCTCCCTCCTGGCCCCAAGGCAACCGCTGCCAGCCTCCCTTCTGGCCCGGAGAGACCTCTACTAGCCTCCCTCCTGACCCCAGGGGATCTCTGTCAGCCTCTTTCCTGGCCTGGGGGATCTCTGCTGGCCTCCGTCCTGGCCCCGGGACCTCCACCACCCTCACTCCTCCTGGCCCGGGGGAACTCACCCATCCTCACTCTTGGCCTGGAGGACCTCCGCTGGCCTCCCTTCTGGCCTGGGGGACTCAGCCCCAGCTGTGAGTCTTGTCCTGACATCTGTGTGTCAATTTTGAGTTTGTAGAAGTGGTCACAGGCCTTTCTCTTCTATTCTGAATAGGGCTGGACATTTTTCAGGCTCATCCTTCTGTCACTTTTAGTGACCATGACCTGTCCCCCAGGGTGGGAGGCACACAGCCCAGTCAGTTCACTGCACACAAACACCAGGGCTGGAGGATGCCTTGAGGACTCATGCAAATGCACCAGATGGGAAAGGAAATCAGGGAACGTCCCAGACAAAAGAGAAAATAGTGGCAGGAAGTGGAAGGAGACCTCATTGGAGGGTGGCCGAGGCTCAGAGTGAGATGAGCCCTCATCACCGACCAACGAACCCGAGAGCCACATGTTCTGAAAGGCCTCTGGCACAGAGATGGGGAGATGTCTCGGGCAGGACCACCAGGCTCAAGGGCTTCTTTGGCCATTATGAATGTGGGACCCGGTGAGGGGCCTGCCTCCCTGTCCCACTCATCTGTAAAATGGGTCCATATCCACAGCGCTGAGCTCAGAAACTTGTTGGGGCCTGAAGTGAGTTGTGCATTGTATTAGTCCATTTTCACCCTGGTATAAAGAAATACCCAAGACTGGGAAAAAGGTTTAATTGACTCACATTTCCACATGGCTGGGGAGGCCTCAGGAAACTTACAGTTATGGCAGAAGGCAAAGGGGAAGCAAGGACCATCTTCACATGGTGGCAGGAGAGAGAGAAGAGAAAGCAAAGGGGAAAGAGCCCCTTATAAAACCACCAGATCTTGTGAGAGCTCACTCACTATCACGAGAACAGCATGGGGGAAACCGCCCCCATGAGTCAATCACCTCCCACCAGGCCTCTCCCTCCACTCCCACCAGGCCTCTCCCTCAACACCTGGGGATTACAATTCCAGATGAGATTTGGGTGGGGACACAGAGCTGAAGCACATCATGCATTAAAGCACTTCGGGCAGGGCCTGGCGCCTCTGTTCTATGTGGTGTCCGCTGTTCGTATGAGTGAGGAGGGAAGCCGTGACCTAAAGCTGGGGATGGGGCCCTGTCACCTCCACTGTGTGTCACTGGGCGAGCTGCTTAGCCTTTCTGAGGCTCTGTAAGTGTGGCTAATGCCACATGTCCCGTGGGGTTCAGGAGGCAGTAGGGAAGGTCATGTATCTGGAAAGCTTTGCACAGGGCTGGCTGAATGGGGCAGGGCTTCATGGCTGTGTGCTGTCATGTTTGGAACCTGACGGCACAGGACCGAGTGATCTTCCTCCTTCTTGGTAGCCTGCTTGGGTTTCCTCTGGATAAAGAGCTGGGATGTGTCACTGGCTTAACAGAAACGAAACACAGATGTATGTGGTATGAGCCACAGAGGGTCCTGGGGCCTTGGCCCCATCAGGCTGGACCCTGCGAAGGCCACCCTGCCACGCTCCATGCTGCTGGGAGGAGGTCGGGCCTTCACCCCTTGCTTCATTCTCTGTCCCCTCAGGTTCCAGGAGGGACTCCCCTTCCCTCTGCCAGGCTCCATCTTCAACAGGAGTGACAGCGGTGTGTGTCACAACCCTAACGAGCAGCCCGGGCTGGGGCACAGCTTGGACTCACTTCGTCCTGCAGCCCAGCTCCCCAGCTTCTCCTGGGCATGGGTGGGGCGGTCGCCTTCACCTCCCACCACCAGAGGGTGCGACCTGAAGGCCCCAGGAGACGGCATGTGGCCCACCAGCCTCCCCATATCCAGGGTTTCACCTGGCCGTGCAAGTGCGCCCAGGCGGGGATGCGTTACCCTGGTGTGCAGCGAATCCCAGTTCTCTCCTTCCCTCAGAGGAGTGGAGCTAATGCCAGCAGGCCAGCTGATTTCTGCATTAGACATAGAGCCACACATTCTTACTGGAGGCGCCCAGTGACACAGCCAGCCCAGATGAGGGCACATAGGCGGCAGGGACCTGGGGCGGGTCTCCCCGGACTCTGGTGCACAGGGGCTGTGTCATCCCGGGCACCGTAGGGCTCAGCAGTGGCCTGGCCTCCACCCACCACACATCTAGTTGTGGCAACCCAGACATGGCCACTTGTCCCCTGGGGCCAGGCCACCTGGCTGAGGACCCCCAGGGCAGAGGACTGGGCTGCTGGGAGCCTCTCCGTGCAGGGAGTGTGGGGGCCTCGGCCACATGCCTCTGCCTGCACGGCCCTGCCGTGAGCGTCTGCGGCTGCTTCTCTAAGCCTTCCTTCCCCTGTCCTCCCACGGCCACCCACGGGCTCTGGCGTCCTCTCTCCAGGTTCCTGAATGTGTTCAGTCAGGTTACAGTCCACGCTCGCTGCTCTGGGAGACGTTCTGCCCTCAATGTAACTAAGACTCGCTACGCACCTGTCAGAAGGCCACCTTATATGGATTTCAGCTTCTTTGGGGACACTTTGCCATCACTGCCACGTCCAGACCGTGTTGTCTTTCTGATACTCTCCTTCAACAATTCACGGACACTCGCTGAGACTTGTTCACATCATCAAAGGGCTTAGAGCTGGTGTTAATATTAGGGTCTATCTATTCTCAGCCTTCACTCTGTAGAGGACCCACTAGCCTCAGGATGCACAGGTGACTCCTCTGACATCACAGCAGTTCGAGGCCAGCTCTTATTCATAAAATCGAAGGCCTGGAATGAAGTCACGGTTCTCAGCTCAGGACCCAGTCAGCAGATCCGCTTCCCAGAACTGCAGAACACGCCCTGGTGGCCCCAGGGCCAGGCGGGCCCGGCGAGGACGCCCTTCTAGACTGTGTGTCTCTATCGAGCCCACCAGCCTCTGCTAGAGTCTTCCAGGCCTGGAGGGCGCCTTTTCTCCAAGAGCAGCCTGTCCATTTTAGGATTGCACCTCTGGGACCTCTTGAGTCCCTCTCACTGAGAAGGTGTGTGTTTTGCCCCACTCCAAATGCATTAGAGGCCAGGAGCATGCTGAGCCATCTTCTTTAGGCCTTAAGAAGTAACTGGAAATTCAGCACCGTCCACAGCCTGCTGGGCTCACCTCAGGGGTGCTGGGTGCCATTCTGTGGCATATTTGTTGTCCTTTCCAAGGGAGACCCCATACTTCTTCTTCCCCCAGGACTTGCTTTACACAGATTTATGGTATTCGTTACATCTGAGACACTCTCGCTGTGTCTCGATTGCAGAGGCACGGAGATGTGAGGGGCATGCCTTCTGCAGTCAGATGGACAGGGTGTTATTTTCCCCTCTGGTGCTCCTCTCTGGCTTGTGGCGCACCTGCTTCATCACAGGACGCACCAGGAGATGACCCGTCACGAGATGCTGCTGCATGCATAGCAGGCCCTGCAGCCCGGGGCCCACAGCACCCCTGCTAACCAGGCTCCCGTGCAGCATTTCCTGCCTATAGTCAAAGAGCTCTCTCTAGAGAAGAGGAAGTCCCCATTGTTCAAGACTACCCAAAACACCAGCCTTCTCTGCACGGCACGTCGAGGAAAGAATAACTGTGCAGTGAACAGCACTGGCCCAAGTCTGCAGGGCGAGGAAGAAGCCAGGACATAAGCAAAGACAAATCTTACTAGAAACAGAACGAACTTGCAGGCTTCCCTTCAGATGACGATGACTGCGAGTGAAGAGGAAATCCTCTCCCAGCATCTCTTCCTGCTGGTGGAAGCTGCAGGTCACCTGACCACACATGACAAGACAGTGTGACTCAGATCCAGCGTCTGCCGTGAAGTTTGGTCTCAGGGCCCTGCTCATCAAGAAATGTTTTTGAAAAAGGTGGAAGTAGGTAGAGGGACGTGCTCTGAACCAGCGTGACCAAAAGACAGTGTGTTCACGGTGCATTCATCTGATTCAATTCCTGCCAAAGGCTTTTGTTATTTGAGAACATTATGACTAAACCAACAGAGAGGAAGGTGAGTAAGCAAACAGGAAAAACTGATGACGAATTGACAATCCATGTATTTATCCACCCATTTAAAGTAACTTGCTGAGCGCCTACCTAGCTGCACAAGAAGCTCAGGGCCTGAAGATGAACACGCAGAGGCTGTGTGCAGGGGCATGAGCTTACAGCTGGAATTAGAGATAAAGGAAAAGGCACCTGAGCCCTGTGACATGCGGGGGGTCAGGGGAGGTGGGACATATGTGGCCTCGTAGCCAGAGCCCCGCCTGTTTCCCAGGACATTCTGAATACGGGTGAGAGACTGCGCGTTGGACAATCACTGTGAGTCCCGACCCTTACCAGAAAAGTCACTCGCAGCGTCGTTTCCAGGCATAGGTTAGGATCACCATCCTCTCCCACGGGCCGTATGTTGCAATCCTGATATGAAAACGTCTTCTATCTCCTTCAACTGCGGCAGGAGCACAGGTGAAAGAGGGGAGCCCAGACTGGGGGTAGACTGTATTCGTGGGTTATGGCCCTATTTACAGATCAGTCATGATAGCTCTGCAGATTTGCTGGGGCTCTGTGGCGCAGTGGAGGCGAGGACAGAGGTGGCCCTGCTCTGGGAGATCCCTTCCTAACTGGGGCTCCCTGACGGCTTCCTGCACAGGAGGGGCCCGACGCCGGCGGGACAAGCAGGGAGCCCAGATCAGCCTTGGAAAGCTCAGGCTCAAACCAGAGCTCAATGTGGAAATTAAAAAACAAACCTTGACTTTGTGTTGGTTTTTATTCTTCCACTTAAAAAGTTATTTGAAGCGTAACGTGAGATCCTGGAGAGGACTGAAATGGCATGTCCTAGGTTCATGTTTATCCTGGTTATAAATTGTCTTTTTATGAAGTTGAAAGCCATGTTGAAATTAGGTCATTTTAAAAGAATTTATTAAAAGGTATTGAAAATGCAGGGCCATGGAGGAAGTAAATGATTCTTTGCCTGGGAGATTTAGAACGGATTTATTTAATTCTGGTAATGGGCTTTGTGACCACGGCTGTCTTCTGTCTCCAGCTGGTGAGCTCTTTAGGGGGGCATCCTTCGAGTCCAGCCTAGAGAAAAGCAGAGTTGTGTCCTGACTGCAGGGTGTAGGCATTTGGGTGGAAGGTTCTTTCCCTCATGCTTACTTCTCAAACATGAGGTTCAAGACCCACCTCTGCCTTGTCGATTTTACAGATCCAGAGTCCAAGAAAGCCAAGAGTCATCGACGTGTCCCAGCCTGTAACGGGCTGGGCCTCTTTGTTTTCTCACCAGAGGGTTTCAGGGTCCAGACGTGGGGCCTGGATTCTAGAAGCCCACATGCTAAGCCTTCAGCAGATACCTCCTTCACCCAGTGAAGACCAGCACATCCAGCCTGGTATTTCAAAGCTGGCTTCATAATGCTGATTTCTCTAATTTCCATCTTCAGGATATTTCTTACAGTGTTTTTTTCATCTTGTTGGGTTTGCAATGGATGCCCTGTGGAGGTGCAGCTGAAGGCGGGGGGCGAGGGAAGCCAGACTGAATCCCGCCTGCTGCCCCAGGCCCACCACTCCCGCCTGCCTGGGTTTCCATGGTATTTACTTAATGGGTTACTTTCTCATAGTGATGAAAAGTCATCCCACAATGGGAATCCTGAGCTCCAGTTATGAAAATCGCCAAGGTGACCATGGAAAGGAGGCCAGCAGGCACGCTCTGCCTCTTGGGGAGAATGCCAGGCCCCGGGCCACTCTCATCCCAGAGGGAGCAGTGGCGACCACCCCGGACCTGGACACAGCCAGCCAGGGCCACGGCCTCAGGCCATAGCCACGACCACGCAGAGCTCACAGGCACCCCCCAGCCTGCAGACCTGGGGGCCATCCTCGGCCTGTTTCTCTGCCCTTTCTTTATCTCCAATTATAAAGCAGCGCCAGGTTTTCTTGTCAGCCTCTGCCATGTCTCCAAATGGCTTTTCGGTGTCAGGCCCATCAGGAAATTAACTCATCATGCCGTGACAGCTGCTAATTTTTTCCCCTTACATGTCAGATGGATCGCCTGCTGAAGCTAATAATGAATCACCCATCCCTGATTAGAAGGTGCTTCCGAAACGTATAACTGCCATCCGAGAGAACTTTTTTCTTCATGTAAAATGATATCACCCTAGAGGAGGAGAAAACGAATTGTATTCTTCAACAAGATGGAACAGGAGGAGGTTGCTTAAGTGAGCTGTGTGCTCTCTTAAATTATGGGCTAATATTAAACAGCCAAAGAAGTGAAAACTTACAGATTTTTAGTTTGCTAAATGAATGACCTTTCTTGTTCCCTAATTCTCTTCCTAGAACCAGCTCTGGGTTAGAAATCCAAGCTGGTTCTTGGATGCTTTCCTTATGCCATCATTTTATCTTTTGTTCAGGAAAAAGAAGTTCGGTAGGACCGAGACACAAATGCCATGTGGGGAGCAGCCCCTTGCTTCTTACAGCAGAGGTGGGCTGGGGCTGCCTGGCCCTGCGGAGGCCTTGCTGTGCCCCACGAGAGAATAGGGTAGAGAGACCGGGACTTGGGTAGAGATGACCGGGATTCCTCCCCGTCCACCTCCTAGGACTTTTGACAGAGCTTTGGTTGACTGAACTTTCCCATCTGTGCACTTCCTTGTAAAATCTAGTTTCAGCAAGAACCCTGCCAAATCGGTTTAGCCAGAAATCCTGGCGAGAACTCTAACCTTAACCCTCCATGTCTGCTCACTCATAAGATCTAACCAGGTTCCTTATCCTATCACGCCCCCTCCGCCTCAGGTGGAATCTGACGGCCCTGGCCTCGCTTCAGCAAGAATCCAGTCCTGTGGGCTTGGGCATAATCCCCTTCCCCGTGCGTCCTTTTAGCCATCTTCCATCCACCAGTGCCTGCTCCCCTTCCCTGTGCGTACTTTTAGCCATCTTCTATCCACCAGTGCCCGCTCCCCTTCCCTGTGCGCCCTTTTAGTCATCTTCCAACCACCAGTGCGTCCCTTTAGCCATCTTCCATCCACCAGTGCCCGCTCCCCTTCCCCCTGCGTCCTTTTAGTCATCTTCCATCCACCAGTGCCTGCCCCCACAACTTCTTGGCTGTAAACCTTCGCTTGCTCCTGTATTCAGAACCGAGCCCAGTTCTGTGCCCAGGTCTTTTTTCCCCTACTGACATTTTCCTGAATAAAATCTGGGTTTTACCTGTGCAACTACTGTCCAGCTCTGGTTTTTCTGTGATACTCTGCGGTCCCATTTCTGAACAGAGCTTATAAATGGCAGTGGAGTTTCCAGCCCTGCACTCATAGAAGCTTGTAAAGGGCAGTGGAGTTTCCAGCTCCACACTCATAGAACCTTGTAAAGGGCAGTGGAGCTTCCAGCCCCGCGCTCATAGAACCTTGTAAAGGGCAGTGGAGCTTCCAGCCCCGCGCTCATAGAACCTTGTAAAGGGCAGTGGAGCTTCCAGCCCCGCGCTCATAGAACCTTGTAAAGGGCAGTGGAGCTTCCAGCCCCGCGCTCATAGAACCTTGTAAAGGGCAGTGGAGCTTCCAGCGCTGCACTCATAGAACCTGGGCACATTCACTTGGTACTTCAAAGCAAACCACGTGGCGAAAAGGATCTCTGTATCAGGTGACGTGAGCTTGCCTGCTTGTTCTGCGGTGCATGGGACATATTTTAGGAGAGCATCTTCCCCTGCTTCTTCCACATCCACTGCTTGGTGAGGCCTGGGGCATCCCGGAACGACGCAGGTTTGATTCTGTTTCATGAACGTGACCTCAAGTGGCTACAACTTCCTTTTTCTGGAAACTGCTGTCTTGCTTTGTAACTCTCCAGCATATACAGAGAGCACTGCTCGACTTCCGCCATGGAAGCTGAGGTCTAAACCATTACTATCTGCTGCCTCAGGCGGTCTGGTCTTCCTTGCATGCCAGACGTCCTTGAGGCTCTGTCGTTTAATTGGCTGCAGCTTAATACAAAAGTGGCCTTTCTGGATTAGTCTCCAAGTAAATATTTCATTTGCCTTAAAAAAAAAAAAACTTTGAAGTTCTGTCATATTCTCTGGCAAAAGTCACAAGGAAAGCTATCAGCTTGCTTGTCTTTTTTATAGACAATCCATGCCACAATGAATGTCCCTTGCTCACAAAACCTGCTATGCCTCATTATTCTAAGGCACACATTCGTGTATGTACTTCTTAAACCCCCTTACATTCCAATAGTTGTGTAATGAGAGAGAAAAAGAGAGGTAACATTAACCTAGCTCTATGGGTAATTACAGGATACAATGGCTTAGTGAAGCCTCCGCAATCCTTCTGGGCCTAGAAACACCTTCTGTACAATTTTTTTTTATGCAAAGGCCTGCTCTTTTCATTGCGCATACAACGTGATTGCTGGTTTGACACTGCAGGCTACACTGGTTTTATGAAGGATTAAATGCCACCTGAGACATATTTATCCTAAATAAATCACCGACGGTACACTGCAGCATGTCAGTGTCAACACCCTGGACTGCAGCAGAAAGGTTAGCCATACAGGACTACGCACGGTTAGGAATTAGCATCCGAGCCGAGGGCCGTGGGCTACTGCTAACGGGAGGAGTGATCAAGAAGAAATCTTTCCACTGAAAAACATCCCCCCGCCAACCTTTTTTTTTTTTTTTTTTTTTTTTTTTTTTAACATGTATGAGAAGCCTGGCGAGGGCCATCACTTTGTAAAGGTCACCTTGATCCTGTCACTGTTTGCTGAAGACAGTGTTTAAGAAGCCCTGAATAGCCCTGCCATTGTTAAGAAACATGAGCAAGTCATACTCAGCTAATTATGGATCTCAGTGTCAGCCTTGAAATTTACCTTCAGTTCTTATTTTTTTGGAGGAGTGGCTGTCTAAAGGGAGGTGGCCCTAGGTGGACAGAGCTCAGCAGTGAGAAGGGCGCTAGGAAGAGGCCGGTTCCGCTTCTGAACTGGTCAAAGCGTGAGCTGGTCTCCATGCTCTCTCAGGAAGAGATTTTAAACGGCACTTGTATTTAAACAAAGAAGGTACCACTCTCCTTTCCTCTCATGCCTGCTCTTCACGATTTCTAGATGCTATCCATGATAGAATACGTTATTGTCACCAGAATGCATCTGGGCCATTTGCCAGATGCTGAGAAACAGTATCGGGCTGCAGGGGATGTGCAGCAGTGCTCCGCGTCTGGAGGCCACGAAGGAGGGAGAAGCCAGCAGCCACAAGCGCCGGGGTGCCCCCTCGGTTGCCACAGCTGCCCACCACTGGCTGCTGAAAATAACATGCCATCGTGATCTTTTAACGTTATAATTTTATTTCAAAGAAAACAGAAACAGAACAAAAACAACCTTTGCATTTGAGGGAGGAGATTATTTTACAGTTTTGGAAAAGAATAAGAACAATTGTATCAGGAAACAAATGATTATGACAGAAACTCGCATCCGACAGCTGCAGTGAATCCACGAGGACACAGACCATGCTGGTGGCCACAGCAGGGCCACAGGTGAATCCACAAGGAAACACAGACCATGCTGGCAGCCACGGCAGGGCCACAGGGCACGGTCTCCATGTGTTAATGTTTAATGTCAGCATTTTCATATGGACAGAAATCACGAAGAAATCCTGCAAAAATGGCATCAATATGAACAAACCCTTGTTATAAAAAGCAAAATATTGATAGGAACAATATCTTCCAGCGTGTGCGTTTCACATTTAGGCTTTACTGTATGAAACTAAGTCAAAATTAGAAGCACTGGCTATCTCCACCGACATATATTTTAACTGAATATAAACTTCAAGGCTTTTCTTAACCATAGGCTTAAGAGGATTTCTTTTATGCAGAATGTGACCAGAGCAACAAATACACCTAAACTGTTTGAAGATGGGAAATTTATACATGAAATGAGCTAGCAGGCTTCCTTTGGTATGGGGACACTGTTATTCTAAAATTAAAAAAAAAAAATTGAATGGAAGTGGACTGCTTCAAGATGGTAACACTTGTAGCTGCAATTTTTAGCCCAGTAGAGAATGAAATGGAAAGGCAGCTACATGCTGACTGCACAAGCAGGTGCACCCCAAGCCAGGAGGGGTATCTTCACCACTTTCCCCACGGCCATGACCTTCTGATAACTGAAATGGGAAAACACTTGGGAGAGAAAAACACCAACAACACTTGGCTTCTCTTCAGCACAGCGGCCAGGACGAAGCGGGAGGCCACTGATCGAAGGGCCCCCAGTGGACCGGAGCTCCCTGTGCGGCCTGCGCCCGGCCCTCCCCTGCACTTGGCAGCCTGCTCCCCGAGGCCCAGCCCACGGTACCCTCTGTGGGCGCCTGGCTGGTGGCCAGTGTGACTCTCGCTGGGAGGGCATGCTCAGAGCTCACGGGAGCCTTGTCCTCATGGTTTTGAAGGTTTCAGATGAAGCTCAGGGAACACGGTCCCCCACCGAAGCTGGACCTTCCCACACCTGCCCTGTGCTGAGTAAAGGTGCCGCGCGTCTCATGCTTCCTGGAGTTCGCTGCTTTCTCTTTGGCTCTGAATTGCCGCCGCGGCCGAGGAGCCCTCCTGGGTGTAGATGACCACGCTGGCCAGCTGCTCTGCCCTGCTTGGGGCCCCGGCCTCTGTGCCTAGCGTGGCCCCGGCCTGCAGGAGTTCCTGCGAGTCCGCAGTCTCCAGCACGGTGTGGGAGTACAGGCCCGGCTCGTCCTGCACCCCTGGGGGCAGCTCTGTCAGGATGTAGTGCGTGGTGCCCTCGGAGAAGCCGCCACTGGACTCCTGCACCATGGCCTGGACCAGCTCCTCCGTCACGATGATCTGCGAGATCTCCCCGTCGGACTCCACCAGATCCATGTGCTCGCCCTGCGCCTCCTGCATGATGATCTGGGCACCCTCCCCGGCGACCATGTGGACGGCACCCTCTTCGCTCACCACCACCTGGGTGACACCGTCCTTGACCAACTGGCCGGCCGCGGCCGTGTCACACACAGCAAACTGGAGGACGCCCTGGACCATCTTCTTGAAGGCCACCTGTGCCCGCTCCTGAGAGGCCATGGCTGCTGAGGGATGGACCACCTGGGTGAGCACCTCCACGGCGGCCGGGCTCTCCTGGGCCTGTGGGAACATCTGGATCTCGGGGGCCTCGGGGTCGGCAGCCACATGGGAGACCTCCTGCCCGGGCAGCTGGATCAGCACGTCTTTGGCGCCGGGCCTGCCTTGCTCCTCGAGCCCAGCCCTGCCCTCCACCTCCCCTAATTCAGTGACCGCACAGAGCAATGCATCCAGGGCTGAGGATGCCTCGGGGGGAGCGACTCCAGCCTCCGAGAGGTTTAAAATCTCCTGCTTGGTCACCTGTTGTATCACAGCGCCACCTGGACTGAGGGACTCATCCATGCCGTGGCCTTCCATGGAGCCCCCCACGACGACCACCTGGGTGGCTCCATCAGCCAGCTGCTCGGGGAGGATGGGTCCGGGCACCACGCTGCCTACATGTGCCCCGCTCTGACTCGTGGCGATGACCTGGCCATCCTCCGTGATATGCACCACCCGGGCCACCTGGCCGGCCATGGCCAGCGTCTGCAGCGTGGCGGCGGCCGTCTCCTCCACCGAGGGGTCCAGGGCAAACTCCCCGTCGTAGCCCTGGAAGATGATGACCTGCTGCACCTGCTCAGGGGGCGGCGCTGGCCTCCTGCTGCTTCTGAGGGGCTTCTCCTTGACGAGGGGCTCTTCTGCCAAGGCCGCCGCGGTGAAGGGGCTGTCTGTCTCCACGAAGGTGGCTCCTTGTCCCTTTAGACGGCACTCGTACGACTTGGAAACAATGCCTAAGGGAGACAGGGACCAGTTAGAGCCTGGAAAAAGTACTCGTAGGCTTACAAGTAAGACACTTCTTCTGCAGAAGCGCTCAGGCCTCAGCAGAGTCACCACGACCCCCTATTCCAAACCCTGAAGAGCTCTCTACAGTGCAAGCTTCAGCAGGGCCAGAGGCCTCCGTGGGCATCTGCAGGCAGGCTCTAGGCTCAAGGGCACACACAGTTAATACTGGGTGTGCATTTCCCCACAGCCCTGTGAGCTGTCCAATACAACTCTTTGCAGGGGTGTGCGCCTCTCCAATGCCCAGGGAAGGAGGCTGGATACCTCCCCCCAACCACCATCATGTCTTTTGTAACAATGCGTTCCGTCACGGGTGCTAAGTAAAGTTCAGCAAACAGCCAGCAGTAGTATCTCCTAACCCAACGGAAAATCTTTTTTTAATGACCAAATATTATATATGGTATATTTGTTTATTCAGCAAAAAGAATGAAAGCCTTGCATATTAAATTTTAAAAAATGTCATCAATAAACACCGCTGTAAAAGTTTAATGCAACAAATATTTATTGAACATCGACGTTTCAGGTGCTGAACCTGGGCAGGCAGCCTGTGCGGCCATGTGAGTCGCCGTGTCCTGGCAGCATGCAGGGCACTCTGCAGGGTGCTGGGCACATGCAGACACAGGGTCCTGGCCACTCAGGGGCTGAGAGGGGAGTCTATACTGCAGAACTGGGCAGCGGGCTTCGAGGGGACAGACTCAGCCTTCCTCTTCTCTGTCCCATCTTCCGGACAGTGCCTTGGATTGAATAAGTAATCAACAAAGATGTGTTTGCCGAACGTCTTGGATACAACATAAGGTGACAAGACACAGAGACAAAGAAGCCATACATTCAGGAAAGAATATTCAGGGAAAGATGTAAAAACGAAACAACATTGTAGCCCTGTCTTCAGGACAAGATTCAAGCCATCTCTCGTGGACTGGGAGGAGAAGTTCCAGACAGAAGCAGCGAGGGCCCAGGCAGAGGCAGGAAGGCCATCCCCAAGGTGCTTCAAGGCCTCAGGGCGGTGGAAGGCTCGGGCTGTTAGGAGAATAGGTTGCTCATCACAGAGCAGGTTGCCCAAGGCTTCCTCCACCCTGCACTAAGGTACCTGGGCTATGGGCTGCAGAGAGGAGGAGCGTGCTGAATGTTTTTAGCAGGAAAACTACAGGACTGTAACAGAGGGTAAGAAATTTACGATCTGAAGTGCCAGCCCCAAATGCCTTAGTGAAAACAACGTGTGTAGAAGATACCATAAGCCCCGTGGTGCCCGGGCAGAGGCAATAAGGGGAGACCAGGAGAGAAAAGAGGGGGTGAGCAGGACGAGAGTGAGGAGGGGAGAGCCGGAGCTGGGTGCATCCCCTGGTCTGGAGCCATCTTGTGCCCTTCACTGTCTGCCCTTTGTCAACGGGATACCCAGGACAGGCAGGCAGAGCACAGGGCTTGGGTGGGCAGTGGGATTCTGAAAGGCCTGGGCTGCTGCAGGAGCGCTGAGCCCATCGCAGAGCTCTCGGGCCAGGGGCTTCGGCTGTCATCTATCCTGTACAAAGAAAACTCTGGCGGGGCACAAGTACGGCGGGGATGGGAGGCGCTGCACGAGGGCACACGGCCAGGCGCACATCACACCCTCCTCAATGTCACTGGCGACTCAGGGCAACGCCTGCTGCTCCCTGCCTTGCTGGATAAAACAGGGCTGGAAATGATAAACTTTATTTTCATAAAAAAGAAATGGGCTCTTTAAACAGACTTCCTGTTTTCTTCTTTAAATCCCAATTTTCCATCGGTTTTCTAATCGACTCCATCCCTCCTAAATAAGAGAATGATCGATAGGTGACCCACAGCAAACATTTCCATAGTTCAACAGCAACCACATTTTTGAGATATTCTGCTTTAATCTCCTTGAGGGGGTCAGTTTCTTAACAGCGTCTTTTAACCTTAACAAAAGGGAAAAAAGGATCAAGAACTGTTCAAGATTATTTATTGCTAGGATCTCTTAAAAACAGAGTCAACCATTTTGCTTATCGTGTTGGTGGTGTTCTGCAAGAAAGCATTTCTTTCAATACCGAGTTAATTCTGAGCACAGACCCCAGACAGGGCCTGTCTTCCAGTGGGTGCATCTCAGGCAGGATCAGCAGAAATTGTTAAATCACGTTTACCAAGGGGACATGGCCCAGCTCTTACTCAGGCTGGAGGAACACGGTCCTGGATTTGAAAGTATTAATTAACTGATAAGTACTAATTAATATATCTTCTTTCTCAGGCAACTCTGTAAAGTGTGAATCTTAGAAAGGGTATGGAATTTTGTCAAGAAAAGAGCTGCGGCCGGGCGCGGTGGCCGACGCCTGTCATCCCAGCACTTTGGGAGGCCGAGGCGGACGGATCACGAGGTCAGGAGATCGAGACCATCCTGGCTAACACGGTGAAACCCCGTCTCTACTAAAAATACAAAAAATTAGCCGGGCGCGGTGGCGGGTGCCTGTAATCCCAGCTACTCGGGAGGCTGAGGCAGGAGAATGGCGGGAACCCGGGAGGCGGAGCTCGCAGTGAGCCGAGACCGCGCCATCGCACTCCAGCCTGGGCGACAGAGCGAGACTCCGTCGCAAAAAAAAAAAAAAAAGAAAAAAAGAAAAAAAAGAAAAGAGCTGCAGGGCCAGCCAGGACTAGCTCCACTACCAGGAGATACTCCTGTGTACTCGCTCTGCGTCCACGGAAACCTCGCATGAGCAGATGCCGCCGGGCTAGTGAACCGCAGGGGGGAGCCAGGCCTGGCCTGGCCCTCACGCACCAGGCAGAGGAAAGCACTGCGTCTTCAAGGGCAACTCACCCTTCCCGGAAGAGGGACCAAAATGTTCGTAAGTCTAGCTTAACAAATTCCCTAATTATAGCGCACCCTGTTTTCTCATGGTTACACCCGACCAAGGACAGAGAACAACTGGGTAGCATTAAACGGGGCTGCCGGCTGGCCCCAACGTGTGCTTCGGGTAGCAGGCACTTCCGGAACACGACTTCCTCTTCCTGAGGTTTGGTGCTAGCAGTTACAGGTATTCAAGCTGTGGTACTCATGCCGTGTGAATGCCTGGAGACTTTCCAAAGGAGTTTTGAGGGTTGGAAAGGGTCTGCCTGGGCACGTGTCTGGGGACAGAGCTCCTGACTACCTGCCTTTCTCCCTCCTCCCAATTTGCAGAAGAAACAACCCGCGTCCATCCCCGCCTGGTGCCTTGACCGAGGGAAGATCAGAGTTTAAAAGCTGAGCTGAAATGAGGGTGGGCGTGCAGGTCCCACGGGCAGGGGCCGAATCGCTGCCTGTCTCATGGTTGTCTTGTAAACTTTGATCCTCCTATATTCTCTCCTCGGAGAGGTCAGAAGCCTCAAGAGGGTGGCGCCCACAGCTCCTGTATTCATGCTTCCTTTCCGCCTGAGCATAAGCCGGGCCCGTGTGGCTGATCCCCGGTCAGTTTGCCATCTGCTAGGACCTCTAGATCTTTGTCTCCTGTATTTGACACATTCTTTCTCTGGTATGCTTGCAATTTCTCCCCAACCCTACTTTTCTACCCAGCGCCATCTTCACATGTCAACCTTGATTTGTTTCTGTCCGTTCTCTAATTTTAATGTCATTTTTAGTCTAATTCAGAATTTGAAAAAAACGGAAATAAGGACACAAAAACAAAGAAGGCAGCCTTCTGGTCATTCCCCTCCCCCATTAATTTTAATTACAGAAAAGGACATACTGCCAGTACATTAAGAGAGAGGAGAAACTACTGTAGTTGGGAAGGAAAGAACAAACATCCTCTTCTTCAGTAGTCTCAGGAAGAAATGGTGCATGCTTGAGTCCAAGCAATTGTTCTTTACTTTGTAACTGGACAGGAAATCTCTTGGGTATAGAATTATCCTTTGGATCCCTTGCAGCACTGATAATTATGCTATTCTGAACTACTTACTGAATGTATTTTAATCCAGAGGTGGGTTAAGCCACTTCCAGACCATTAATGTAAACTAAATGGGTAAATACTGCTGTCGGTGTGGGGTGTGACGAAGCCTAGCAACACCAATGTCCTCACCTCCGCACACGCACAGGCCCAGCGAGTCCATCACAGTTCATAAATGCGAGCGCGGGTCCATCTTTTGATTCAGCAATTTAATAACTTCGAGTGCTGTCAGTACTGCTTTGAAAAATAGCACCTATAAAATGTAACAGCCTCAATCAGATTGAAAAAGATTCACCCACTGAAGATTCTTCCATTTCAACCATGATGAATTAATGTTGAGCTATGTAGAAGTTCAAGTGTCATTTAAACGAATGTGAATCTCTTCTATAACTTTAAACCCTAACTGGGCTATGACCAAGAATGTACTGGGTACATCGACCTCCAGTTTTGAGCTCTTTCTAGTAAATATGAACTGTAAAGCTCACCAAATGCAAATGGCCAAATGGATACAGCGTTTGGGAAACAGGCACGTGGTACAGGTTGCATCCTTCACTGCTTAGTCACTGTTATGTGTCCAAAATCGCACAAAGCCTTAATGGGGCATGGATGCTCAATGTAGTATTTGTATTACGGTACCTTTAAAAAAGACAGTGTCAGATTTCAATACAGTAACAGTAGTTAACCAAACAGTGTGCCTAAAATCATTCTTTTTTGGGTCTGTTTTCAACAGGGCAATAAGCAGCTTTGCGTAGAAGGCACAGTGACATTAAAATGCAGCCTCGTGCCCATCTACAAAGTCCTCACTTTCTGCCCGTTTGCGTTCGTGAGCACAAAGATATTTTACTCCCTTCTCAGAGCCGAATGCATTGAAAGTTCACAGCTTGGATGGAATAAAAAGGTAGTTACTGGGGTGTCTGAGGATTTGCTTTTGGGGAGAGGATTTTGAGTTCGGCTCGCTGCTCTGGGATGCCATTATGATGCTGCAGCTCCTTCTGCGTGCTTGAAGCCAACATCTCCAGCGTGGAAAAACACAAGCTCCATTATGCGGGGGTGGAGGGGTTAAGCTGCAGAGACTTTGCTCCCCAAAACTGTGCTAGGGGCTCAGTTCTGCTGGCTGGTGTGCTTCTGGGAAGCAGCACAGGGCTGCGTACCTGACTCCTTCCTCTGTGTGTGTGCTGCTCCTTCCTTACTGTCATCATTTGTTCCCACAGAATAAATACCTTACGCTTTTGTTAAGCTTACATTTAATTAAAATGTACAGAATTTGTGCAGTAAACCCGAATGAAAAAAATAAAACAAGGGCCCCCTCTCTTGAAGGCATACGTTGTGAATGAAAAATGTCATTACAGACTAAAAAATTTTGCAGTAAACAGGGCCTACAGAGAGAAGTTTCCCCTGTAATGACATCCATAAAATACACGAATGGCACTTTTAGTACCATCCTGAATATGGCATTTTCTGTGCTCTACACACAATCTAAATGGTTTGATCATAGAGCATAATACTCCATTGGGTTTATAGAACAATCAATGTTCCCTAAAATGATGTATTTATCCAATAGTAGGCTCAGCAGTTACTGGTGTATGACACTGTAGGACACAGGCTTGGGCTCCTCGGCCGCACACGTGCTGGCTGTAAAACTTATCTAACACCACTTCAACAACTTCATCTCATCTGTGGCAAGTAATTTGTGGAAGCCTCAGCTTGGTTTAAAAAAAAACTTGTAATAAAAATTCATAGAATTTTCAGGAGAATGAAAGCTGATGACAATAGAAAGGTCACATTGTGTCTCCACTAAAGGGGTCAAAGGTTGTTAGCAGTTCTAAAACCGAAAGTAGATTTCATGCATCACGTAGCAGATAAAGATGGCATTAAAAAGACGTGTCGTGGGGTGAGATGCCTAATGCCTACAAAAGCCTGTGCTAATATCCTATGTAAACCACTCTGTTGCTGTGAGTTGGCATTTATTTTAAATTTCTAAGCTTCTCCTGAAATGGTACTAAATGTTGATACATTGCTAGGTTACATCTCAGACACTGGATGTACTTTAGATTTTATATTTTCGTAGGCCCAGTAAGCTTGAGAATGCTGGGATGGTTCCTTGTCGTAATGAAAGCACCTTGAATACGATGCGATTAAAAAAATTTTCACATAAAAATTTGGGACACACATGACATTGCAATTCTTAAGCCACATATAATTTTTCTTGGCTTCAATTTTAAGATGTAATTTTAACAAGAATGTTAAGAAATCATACTTAATGTCTATTAAAATGAAACAATATTAACAGATTATGCTAATAAATTAGAGCCATATTTTAATGTCACAAAAGCTTATAAGTTTCTCAAGTGAAAGCAGGAAAAATGACAAATTAAAATTCAATGAAATATAACCTTTTAGAAATTTCAAAGCAGGGAATACATTATTCTTACAATAGCAGTCACCGATAGTTTGGCCAGTCAAACTGATCTCAATAATTGCTCCAGAATTTATTCATCTTATAGACAATAATAATTCCCTGGCATTATGCAAGATGTCCTGTTACAGAGCTCCCACTGGACTCTGGTTTTGAAGAAGTGATGCTTTCTATGTTAACACTGGTACATATTACGGGGGACTCCCTGCCTTTGAGCTACTTCTTGTACTAAACAATGTGAACTTCCTCAAGTTCCTGAAGGGAAAACTCCAATCAAGTGGTTTAGGGACTTCGCTAGGATCAAAGAAAGAGTATGAATCTGGTATAACATGGGACAGAGTAACCTCTTAGTTTTATATTCCAGTAACCAAATGGCAATTTCTCCTTTTTTAAAAAAGTTTTTAAGAACACAGGTTGGTTGGTCAGTACCTCATGTTTCTCCATTATTTTCAATGGTTAGAAACACATTCTGGTCAGCGTTACTAAAATTCACACACAAAACAGAAACAGAAAGGTTACTTGAAATACAAGATTAAGAATTATTTTTAGCCTTTGACATGCATGTTAAACATGGTAGCTAAACTAGTGAGATTTATCTCAGAGTACAGATCAGTTTTGGTCAGCTGACAGGAGCTGGCCTAAGGACAAGTTAGACATATCATAGCATAATAATTAAAAGGAGTTTTGGTAACTATCTGCTGTATACCACATATAAACATATAAAAATATGTTGAAGGAGGACAGTATATAAAGTCTTCGCCATGCCCCGCATTTCATGACGCTGCTGTTTTATAAGAAGAGATGGGGAAATTGCTTTTCTGTAAAAATTAGCTGAGATTCACACCATTTCCGAAAAATTCTTTCACATACATTCAAATACACAATTTCTTTGGATATACCATGCAATTTTTAGTGAAGGAACATTTACAATAAACCAGGGCAAAAATTTAGGTACCAAAAGTTTTAGTCCCTTTTTCTTAATTGCCATGGGTGCGACATTTAACACTGGCAGCAACTGAAGATGATCATATAAAACCCCTGAAAAGAATTCTGGAAATTCACAAAAAATGAAGACTAAATTTTATCTCGAGTTGGAAATACATAATCATGCAGGTTTCTAACTTTACCAAGAATAGTCTCCATGGGCCTAGATATTTCCATGGCCACTGAAGAGTGACAAAGAACAAAAGACAATATTTTACCTTTAAAGTCACAAACCCTAAGAAATGTTGTATTATACCAGACCCTTAGGTCTATATTATCATTTTCATGCATGAAGATCTAACAGTAATAGAGGTGATGCACACAAATCTCACTCAGGAAGATGAGAATGCGTGCTTTAAGGTTATCTTGACGGGCTTTGTGGGGTGGAGAGGAAGGGCAGAGGTTAACTGTTTCTCTGCTGGGCAGAGGCCTGTGAGCTACACAGAGAGATCGTGGTGCACAACCATGTACCTTTGGAAATCGAACTCAGGTGACAGAAACAGTGTCATTGAGTTTCATGGAGGGCGATGAGATGGCACTTTAAAATTAGGCTGGGAAGGGCTCTGATCTAGTCATTTACCCATGAATAGTACTTCTTCAGAACAGCCAGTTGATGTGCCAGCAGAAAGTGCTCAAAAGTCTTCAGTCCTATTTGAAATAAAGCACGGGGAGGAGTGGTGGAGGGGAACCCATGCAGTATCAACATAGGGTGCGTCTCTCACTCTGCACACATTTCCGGGTGTTGAGGTCAGAGCCCTGGCCAATGGGAAGGGGGGTGTCCCTCTTGGAGACACCCTGGCCTCTCCTTCCAGTGCAAGCCTTCTGCTCCTGTGTGCCGACACGTGTGTGAGCATTAGTGACAATGGCTGAGAACACGTAACAGTGCCCTTCAGGCTTTGTATGGGGGGGAGCCCATGCTTGGAAAAGAGCTGTGGAATGTCAGTCCCTCAGGAGTGAGGCTTCCAGAAGACCTTCAAACTCTACCAGACAAATAGCGCCCCCCTGCTTACTGTAAGGCTGCCTCTGTTTGACTTAAAGACGTAACAAACTGGAATAGGCATTCTTATGGAATCAGGAAATTAGGAATCCCAACCACCTTTTCCTAAATGTCCTCTGATAGTCTATGAACTCCCAATGCAGATAAACAGTATCAGGAGACAAGGCCTATTTTTCAAAAGTTGTACACATTATACATACCTTAAAAGGTAAAATTATGCAAATAAGCCCAGCCGGTCCTCCTGGAGGGCATGCATCTAACAAGGCTACTTTAAAAGGCTAACAAGACAGATTCAACTTTTTCCTTTTTCTTTTTCTGGCAAAACCCTATAAAAAAACCCACATTCACTTTTGTAGTCATGTTTATATTTCCTTTATATTATAGTATCTTCATATTGTTCCCAAGGAAATGAGAGGAAACAGACATTTGTCTTCATTGTAGACACTTTCATATGAAGGTAGAAAGCAAACTGCTTCTCAGTAACCGCACAGAGGCATCATTAAAATCAAATTTACAGTAAACAGAACCGACGGCTGGGGTAAAACACTAACTGTTAGTATTTTAATGATCAGCAAAGCTTTCGGAGGTCTAACATCTGCTCATAGCCAAACGATAGCAGCTGCTTGTGTACACTTGAAACAATGCGGATTTCTTCTCTATGCCTTAAAATGAATCATATGTGCTGGGCACATGGCTGCTCTTTCCAACGGAGTTGGTGTGTGCCAGGAGACCTCCAGCACCCTGTGGATAGCAACTCGGGAAGGCCCGGGCTCTTTGAGGCAGGAGATCCAAACCCGCAGAAATCCCTGAGTCCAGGAAATGAAAGCAGGAGAAAGGGTGCAGGAGGCCACCACTGGCTGGGCAAGGCTGCCAGGTGCGGGGGAAGCAAAGCCTCAGGAGCTGTCACCGCGGAGCAAGTCAAGGGGAGGACACAGGGCCATGAAGGTGAGGGGACGATGGCCCTCAGTCCTTCCTTGGATCTACCTGGATGGACTTGGGAGAGCCTCTGTGCCAGGCCACACCCAGCCTCAGCCTTTTCTACACACGGCAGGACCGAGTGGGCGGACTGGACGCTGACATTGTCAAGGTAGAAAACGATAACGCATTTTCTTCCTAACCAGTAGAAACTACTATCTTCATTTTCAACATTTTCCTAAATATCTAAGTTAAATTCCTCTTGAAAGTTGCAGAGTATCTGTGGCTTGGGCTCTACAGAATAACATACCCCTGGGATAATAAAGCTTAACAAAAATCAAACAAAAGACAAACTATGAGGCATGAACCCTGACTCTGGAATGAGCAGAATGAATAGAAACTAACTTTCAAATGGAAACCCTGAGTGAAGTGGCAGCTGTTGGAACCCACAGTCAGGCAGCTTGGTGAGGCAGTATCCGTGGTTTCCCTCCACACACCTGACCTAGCTTTTCTGAGAAGCAAGGGAAGTTCAGAGGGAGATCCTTTTAGAAAGCACAATCCAAATGAATATTGAGCCCAGACCTGACGGGGTCCTGTCCACCTGGTGCACTGTGCACATCTGAAATGCACAGGACGGGGTGAGGCGGGACCTGGGTGCGGCCGGCACTAAGGCCTCACTGTGTCTAGAGGGAACAGTGCGTCATTCTATCTCAGCAGCTATGCACGGCACACTGAAGTCCTCCAGAAAATTTCCACAGTAGATTTTTAAAATAGGGTAGTAAGTCCAATAAGGTAATCATGTGTCATGGGGCTGGGGCCAATTACAGGACCACACGATTCCACTGTGTTCCAAGAGGGCGTAAACAGGAAAACTATCTTTTAAAAAAATTATTAGCAGTTTATCAGGGAAATTAAAGGCTTTGTTAAACAGGCAACACTATTTCGCCTTTTCACTAAAAGCCTGTTTGAAAGGAGCTGGCTGGCAGGCACACATAGCAACAAGCATGCGGTATGGGTCCGAACGCTGATCAGGGAGTGACATCCACGCACATGTGTCCTTCCACCCGGGTGCACGTGCAGGAAAGCAGTAGCAAAGCTGTGTACCGGGTGCCGCACAGGCACCCCCAGAAGGCACTTTGTGTGGGAATGGTGACGTGAACAAGTGGAAAACTGAATTCATTATGTGTAATCCAAACTCAGGTACCTAAGAAACGAGCTCTATCAGGCGGCTGACGCCTGAGTCCACTTGGCACACAACCAGTTGCCCACTTAACATAATCTTCAACAGGGGTTAGAAAGGCAGGACTTGGAATGCTTTCGGGTGGAATGTCTAAGGGCCACTTCTTCTGCCGGAACTTCCCAGTCCCAAAAATAAAGCTACAGGCCTGACACTGGTGGAGGATCTTCAAGGGACATGGGAGGACCGGAAGACGGGCTCCCTGAGCTCCTTCATGGAGGGAGAGCAGTGGCATTCTGTCCCACTCTTTGTTGTTGTTTTTTTTGCTGTGGTTCAAAAAATGGCTCATCGTAATATTCTGAAGGGGCAAAGGCAATCTAGCATAAGCGCGCGACTCCTGTGGCAGATAACAGCGAGGTAATGTAATTATACAATGGGGCATAATAGGCTAATTATTAATACCATTTTCTAAAATTTAAACACTTTATATGCTTAATCAAATGTAACATTTCCATGTTTTCTTGAAATATATACATACACATGCATACATAAAATTAAGCACACCCAAGCACACGCCTTCGTGGACATGCACACGTATGCAAGCACTGCTAGCGGTGTTTGACAAGGGTAGCCTTCCATTTCCATTCTCCTCATCACGTTCCTTATCCAAAGGTCTTCCCCAGAGCCTCTCCTGAGTGCGAATCTATGGCATTCTGGGTGGAGGACAGACATGAGTTAAGTAGGCGGGCCTTTCTAAACTATGTTCAGGACTATGTCAAATGGGCAGCTGGCTGTGTGTCAAATGAACCTGGCCTTCACTTATGAGAGTGCCTGAGTTCTGATGACATGTGGTGGTCTCTGCTTTTTAGGGAGTTCCCTGGAGAAAAGCCCCTCGGACATGTCTCACATAGCTCCTTACCTGATGACCGACCCCCAGACTAGCAGCAGCATGGCTGGAATAAGTCCCGACACACAATGTTTGAGCAACACTTGTTAATTCTTTAAGAGCTGTTAAAGTTTTTAAAGGGTAGGATATCTAAGAACTGGAACAGTTTTAAAACCTCCAAGGTTCAGAGATTCCATTGCATATCAATTCTCTCTTCTCTAGAACCCTGAATATGTTTCTTTCACTGCTCATGTGGTTCTGTTGCTATCACTCTGCTTCATGAAGAGTGACTGTGATGGGAAACGAAATCCCACTGCTGACAGTCCTGAGCTCTTAGAGACAGTCAGGGAATGGGAGAGAAAGGCAATGATCTATTTCACTTAGTACTATAATTAGAAGAATAAATACCCACTGTGATAATCAGTTGCATGACTACTAGTAGAATTTTTAGGTTCCGTAAGTGAGCACAGGAAGAATGCACTCGGGTGCTTTTGTAGTTTGTCACATTTACCATCTATTAAAGAGTTTCTGGGTAAACCTAACAGAAAAACCTAGGTCCTAAGTGACAGCATTAACATGGGTCCATAAGCAACTGGATACTTACATATGTCTTAATTATATATTTATTTAATTTGAAAGTTACTTTGGGTTTTAGAGACATTAGGTAGACACCCACACAGCCTGTCGTACATACTTCCAGCCTATCACACTGAATCTTAATTATCCATACGTGTGCTCATCTTTCCTGCTACACCGAGAGCTCCTTGAGTGCAGGGCTCTATTATTTGCCACGGCATCTTCAGTGCTTGGCATATAATAGGCCGTAATAAGTATTGCTTTAAAAAGAAGACAAATCTAAAAAGGAAGGATTGACTACTCTTTAAAACATCCTCCAGGTAAGAGAAAGAGCATGAGCTCTGGTGTCAGCATGCTTGGGTTTGATTCCTCAGGACACCTGGAAGTTACTATAGAAAGAGAAATCTCCATAGATCTCTGTGTTTTGGTGCTTTTTGTGAGCTGAGGCACTGACTACCTTTACTGTAGATTATCTTTTCGTGGATGTTTCTAGAGAAATCAGCCTTGGAAGAGAAAGAGGGTGTCTTCTTTCAGAGCAAAGGGCAAACTGATCCGTTGTTCATTATAATAAAAATAAGTACTCCTCTTGGACAGAGAACAGGCAAGCTTACTCCTTGTAATAAAAGATTTGGGCTCCCTGAATTCTGCGTTCATTGCCTATACTACAACCCACTGTGTGTACAGATGTCACTGGCCTCTTCATGTCAGCCTGTGGGAGTTTGGACTCAGGAAACTGGGTCAGATGCTGACCCTTTGGCTACAGCTGTTGCTGTGATTAATAAAGTCCTTTATCTCTGACCCAGGAATCTCATGTCTTCTGCCAGTATCCATAAACTGTGGCAGAATATTTGCAAGCTGGATAAAATTTTAGACTTTTCATAATTCTAGACAGTCACTTAAATTTATTAAATCTTGTTTTCTTAATCAATAAAATATGTAACATAATACTTATTTTCTTAAAGAGTAAATGAGACAGCCTATGTACAATACTTAGCATTGTGCTTGACACACAGGAAGGGCTCAATATATTAACAGTAATATATTATATGGTAATAATAATTACTATTATTTTAAGTTTAATGCATTATAGTTCAGTTCATATCACCTGAAATTGGTATGTAATGTAACTAATATCTATGAATATACAAAATAATCTTGTATGACTAAAATATTTGAACCACATTATACATACAGCAAAATTAAATTTAATGCAAATAAATGTAAAGTCCTGCAGTCGGTAGTAAAAAATTGCCCAAAGTATGACAGAAAATGACTTCCAAGTTCTAGCCACTGGTAGGATCAATACACTGATGTGGCTACATCAATACAAGTACAGAGTTCAGGCAAAGAACGGTAATAATATGATGATAAGCTGCTCAGACTATACTTAGGGTGTCATGTTGAAGCTTGAGCTCCAAGTTTTAACAGAAACATTGACAAATAGCCATGAATATAGAGAAAAGAAACAAAAATAACTGGGGACTTAAAATGCATAAAGAATGGCTTCAGTTTACGAATACTTAAAGGACTATCATGTGGAAGGGAGAACAGGTTCATTCTGCATGGCTCTAGAAGGCAAAATGGGGAACAGCAGAGGGAAGTTATAGGAAGAAAACTTTGCCTTAATCACACTGATTCAGAAACTGAAACGCGATGCCTTAGCATTGAGACTCCTATTAAAAAAACCTGAACGACCACTTTTTGGAGATGCTGCAAAGAGGACTCAAATCAGGGGCTCCAATGTCCTTGCTAATATTTAGATTATGATTCTAGAACTCCCAAAGCAGGGAGCAGAAGTTCTGCTGAATACGCGTGGGCCTATCAGAGCAGACAGTGCCGGTGACCCACATGTCTTCAGGAACCGGACAAATAAGTATGATCCCAGGCTATGTTAGTGAAACCCTGCCAGAGCAGGAGGCTGCGCTGTTTGACATCAAGTGATTCATCCTAGCTCCATGATGCCAATCTCTGGCTTCAGCTCTTAGCCACCCAACATACTACCTGATACTCAGTTCCTCCAAATGCAAACAACATGAACTTTCTGGGCAATTACCAGATATTTGAATCTGCCTAGTTCTGTGTGCAATTATATATCACACCAGCTGACAGTGAGATCATGACGAACAACTCCCCCACCCCCCCCCCACCCAAAAAAAAAAAATACTACCGGCCAGTGTTATTTGGAAAAACAACGAGGTGGCCATGAGCACTCACCACTCAGATTTCCTGTCAAGGAGCGTGGCTGGCAGCACTGCCCCCACTGCATCCAGGCCAGCCAAGGGTGACTCCACAAAAGGGTCCCCTCCAGGCCCATTCCTGCCAGCCAGGGAGCCTCTCGCTGGCTGACTCTGGCTTGGTGGCCCTACAGCCTGAACACTGCCTGCTCACCCCTTCTGCCCCTTCCCACCCTCCAATTTAATTTTTTCAGTTTTTAGGAATCATAACTGTTCACAAGCAAAATATGTTATTTGCAAATATATGCTTGCAAATAGCAGGCCCTCATATCTTGTCATTCTAAAACAAAACAAACATTTTAAACATAGTTATAAAGTTGATGAAAATAATCTAGTTGATTTTTTTAAAGACAGAAAGTGTCAGGATTCCAGTCATTGGCTCATGAAAGCATCTCTTGTTTTCACATCGAGCTGAGAGTTAGAGTCCTGTCAGTTATTACTGGCAACATGCTTCAGGCCAGGGGAAGGCTAGGCTGGGTTGGAAATTTCTGGCTATGATGAGAATACAGGTGGTAGTCCCAAACACCTGAGGGTTGAAGTCACCTGGGTGCTGCGTGGGAGGCTGAGAACCAAGCTGAGCAAAGGAGCTCCAGGAGACACTGGCAAAGAATGGACAGTCAGAGCCAGTCAAGAAAGCCAAAAAGTCAAGACCTGAGGTCATGGAAGGGAAGAAAGAAGAGAGGGACCAACCATGGCAAATGCCAAAAAGAAATACCATGTAGACAAAAATTAGGCCTCTGACGCATAATACCAGAAAGACCACGAAATTAATCAGTGAAATCAGAATACCATTGAGAGCAAAAAGGGCGGTGTCTGTACAGGTCACCGGGAGACGAGGCACAGGCCTGGTGCTGCTGACAGGTGTCAGCTTCAGCTGCATTAGGATCTGAGTCTATGATTCTGGTCATTTTCCTCTTGAGCACGTGGTTAACGAGTTATGAATACCAACACGTGCCATATTCTATATAAAAACCAATATAAGGCTGTCTGATTAGTGGCTTCATTACTATAACGAAGAAAAGAAAGGCAGGTGAAACTTGGCATGATGTGTGCGGAAATACAGACATTCATGTGTTTACCTTCGTCTCTACTCACTATTAAACGTCATCAGGTATTTTTCTCAACAAAGATACTCCACTCTTTCCTGCAGCAGCCAGACAATCAGAATGACAGTACCGAATTAATTCCTCATTTGCTGGCTGAAAGAAACTCAAAGCAGAATTGCCAAAGGGCAAAACAGAGAGAGTGACACTATACATCTCAGCTTTTATATATGTCCATTTGATTACTGTGCTTGTACGTTTGCATTACGCTGGTGATCTAACAGTTGTTGTCTTACTTAATTTACAGAGTGCCAAGGTGTCTATTAGTAGGAGCTAGGCTTTGAAAAGTATTACTAAAATATCTGAAAGTCTTAACAGAAATTCCAGGAAGTACAGTAGGTAAACTGCACACAGAAAGTGAAGGGAAAAAAAAATCCTCTTGGAAAAGCCTCTATTACAGAACCTGCTTTAAAAAGCCGCCACATGACTGCAGTATGCTGGGCCAGGGTGCTGGCAGCAGAGTCACCTTCAACGTGAGGCCGCAGAAGGGCAGAAGGCAGAGGGTCCCTGGCTCTGGGTGCTGCTGTAACTCCCTCACTCGTACGGCAGCCCTGGAGGAAGGGCCGTCCCTGCTTTTTTTAGTGTTATGAGTACCTTCTGTTTTCTATGCCTTCCTTTTACTAGTAACTCCTACTGGCTAGAACAATGCTACTTGCTTTTTTTGTTCCTATTTTTGACATCGTCCTGCTAGTCATTAAACCCCCACAGATCAACCATACATAATCCGTTTCCCAATATGTCATATAAGCAAAAAACTGATTCCTGTAACACTGGGCTCAGTTCTTTCTTAAAACATGCTTGTATTATTCAATATTTGGGTTTATTGTCCAATTTTTAAGATGTATATAAATAAACAAATCAGAATCCCAAATATTCTAATAGATAAATCAAAATTAGCTTAGATTTTGGATATAGCCCTATTAATATAGAAGGTTTCCTTCCCTTTTTCTTCAGATACTTTTTAACCTACAGAGTAACTGCCATGAACATAATTTATTTGACTTAAATTCGACTAGTATATATTGAAGGACAGAGGTCAAGGGACATCCGGGAGGCAAATGCCAAATTCTGACAAGAGACTTTTGGGCTTGAATCTACATAGAAAACACATGCAAGGAGGGAGTGAGGTAAGGCTTTTTTTTTTTTTTTCATTGTCTTCAATTCAACTCTATGAAAACAAAAAGCCAAAGAAGGGAGGAGATTGATTCTCACAGATTCTCTGCACAGCCGCTCCAGGGAGTGAAGTAAAGGAGGATGCTGTTCATTCCGCATGGACCTGGCTCCATGGGGGCAGGACCCCTCGGTTCGGGTGGTCACGATTCAGCTGGGTACTGACTCGACTTTCTAACTGCTGGCTTATGAGTGGATTTTAATTTTTCAGTATGAGGACTATTAAAAATCTCCCCAAGAACTTCACAATATAAGGCAGTAAAAGTGAAGCAGCGTTGGCTAAAATGAGTGGAGGGATGCACAGTGACTTGGTTTCCTATTCATCTTTCTCAGAAAGCCTAAGCCTCTGAGGATGTGGATTAAATCCATTGGTTCGATGTCTGCAAGCTCCCTCTAACTTGTAGAATGCTGATGCCCAGCCATGCTGATACTCTTTAGAGACGGGCTGGGCAGCCCGGCTCTGATCACCGCTTAGTCTATAGGAAACATGATACAGTGATTGGTCCCATGTTGCTGTATTTTTAAATTTTCTGTTATGATATGAAAATGGAACATACCTCCACCTCCACAATATATAGCAGCTGACTGTGTTATGCAGACTAAAAATTAATGGGCTAATTGTAGCATTATAGTTCAAATGAATTTACAGTTACCATATTTGGCCCAGTGTGATCTCAAATAAGAATGACTTCGGATCATTTGAATGGAAATTCAGAATCCTCAAAAGAAGCCATGTTGGAGCTGGTTGGTTCATCATATGCAAATACTGTTGCATTAAGATGGGAAATACCTATTCACGAAGATAATGAAAACTGACACAAATATAATAGAACAGGTGGTTTATAGATTCTGGGACTTACACAGCAACATATTTGATCCTTCTGCTTAAGAGTATAGTCATCTACCTCCCCCCAATGCATACTTGATCTGCAATCCAAAAACAAAGCCCACCAGCCTCATAGCCTCATAGCACGAAACCTTACAGCGTTACTCAAGACTCTCAACATCGAAGTTTCCATTTTTTAAAAAGAAGAGGGTGCGGGGTGACAAGTATTATAACAGAGAACAAACGGTGCAGCAAAGAAAGCGGTGGATCAATGGATGCCCCCAGACTCTGGCATTCATAAAACAGCCACATGAATAGCACTGTGGAGAACAAAAGACAATGATGATAAAATTGGGTGCTTTTGTTTCATAAGGCTGGCACAGATGGGCCTGGCATGCTTCATGTTTCATTTCACGAAACTTTAGCCACATTTCCAGGGCAACATTTCCACTGTTTGCAGGCAGTGGGCCTACGTGCAGGAGGCCAGGGACTTGACAATTGTTTTGCTGAATGCCCCAACTTAAGCCTGAAAAAGGAATTTAAACACTCAGACAAGTTGAGTGCTTATAATCTTATGTAAACAGTGCAAATTGAATGGTTCAGTTATCAGCATGAATTTTAATTAAAATGAATAACTTACCACCAGTTAGATTATATTTTCTTTCATCTCCAGTTATATTATAAAACTTTCTGCTGAGACGATCACATCTGCACATTTTTTCATACACGTGTGCATGCACATACACAGGCACATGTTATGTACATGCGTGCACACCCACACCGCCCCACGCACCCCCACACCCAAGCACACACACCCCACCCACACCCCCCACATACATGCCCACACCCCCCCACACCCAGATTTTTCCCAATCAAGCTGAAAAAAACTTCATTCCTTATTCAGAAACATATTGCTGACAATGCACTCTTTTTCTTTACAATAACATCCTAGAAGAAATTCTTTGCTGTAATGGAATTTGCACCAACGTGTTTAAACTGAGTGTGGAGTATGGTGAAGTACCTGGAAGAACTATGATGTACAAATAAGTCTTCAGTGTTGGTCAGAATATTAAGTACATGGTGGTCTTTAGCAGAAAAGAAATTTTAAACAGCAACACACATAAAAATAATGTGAATAGTTTTTTAATAAACCAGTCAAACATCATATTGCTTTAGTCATATCTTGCATATTAATATACTTACAATAAAATATATTTATTTTAAACCACTTATCAAACATATCAATGGAAACCTCATGATCACAACAATCCGCAAGTTTTTGACACGGGCCATAGTGACGGGAATAGTTCAGGGTTATTTCAAGGTCAGATTCACTTCATGATCAGAAACGTTACCTAGGGCTGTTCCTAATACTGGAGGAATAAGACATAACGAAAGAACAAAAGCAAACACTACATCAGTACGAACGGTGCCCAAGGTAACAGAATCCAGAAACAATACAGAGGCTTCTAGTGGCTTCTTGTAGTCTAAGCTAGAACCGCCAAGGAGTCTAGTTCTAAAGACCTTATTCCATTAAAGGAAAACAAACAAACAAAAACCTGTTTTTTTTTTTAAAAAAAAAGAAAGAAAAAAAACCCAACAAAACGCTTTCATGAAGCTCCATATAGATAAACACATGAATATAGTGTTTTTTTTCAACAGGCGAGACTTTCCCCCAAGTGCTGCTATATATTCCTAAAAGGGAGAGGGGGAGATTATCACTGGATCTAATATCAGTTCTGTAAATTATGAAAACCTTACATAAGATTCTAAAGATGTCGGAAGAGGTCAACTGCTCTCACTTCCAGAGGTTTTCAGTGGTGTTTGATATCGTGGCCCCAGGGTTTAAAATCTTACGCTGACCATATTTGCATATCTCAGTACTTTTTTACAGAAACATATAGTAGATACCAAAAATTAAAGGTAATTAGAATAATTCATAATTGCTCAGCAGCTCTCAGTGTTCAAAGTAAACGGAGCAGTTTAGCAATTTAGAAAACTCTATCATTGATTATCAAACTAGCTGGTTCCCCTGTAAATATTTTTATATCCGGATACCTGCCAATTATATGTCCTCAGTTGGACCATGGTGTTGTCAACCCTGTAATGCAGGACTCTTTACTTGGCAAGTGAAGCCTTTTTATCAGTACTGTGGATAAAGCCACAGGGTCAACTTGTTAAATTTGCCCATGACGGAAAGCTGATATGGCTGCTACAGAAGCAAACCCAAACTTTGCTGCTTTAAGACAACACGGCACTTGCAAAGCAGAACACTGCATTCAGTGCCAGGAAACATGTTTAATAGAGATGCAGAAATGGGAGCACATCCACAATGATGTGATACAGAAACCAGAGGGTTGGTGCAGAAGCCATAGCAAGCGGACAGTGATGGGAGGGATGGAGGGAGGCAGGCAGGTGAAAGGAATGAACTAAGCAGGCTGGCTTGGCAAAGATAGATTTGAGGGGTGGAAATAAGGACAGGAAAACAGCCTCCAAATATCTGGCAGGCTGTTATGTAGAGCTGGGCATGCACATGACCTGTGCAGGTCCAGAGCATAGGAGGACTGCTTTAGCTCATTATGAGGAAGAATTTTTCTAAAACTGAGAACAATTTACACATGGATACATGAAAAGATGCTTGGTATCATCAGTCACTAGGAAAATGCAAATTAAAACCATGATGAGATACACAACACACCCATTAGAATGGCTAAAATTTTAAAAAGACCGATCATGCCAAGTGCTGGTGAGGACGCGGAGCACCTGGAGCTCTCATGAACTGCTGGTGGGGATGCGAAATGGCACAGCCATGGTGGAAAACAGTTTGTTGGCAATTTCTCACCACATCATCCCATGACCCCATTCCTAAGAAAATGAAAACACATGCCCATACAAAGACCTGTTGCCAAACATTGACAGTAGGGTGATTCCTAATCACCCACAACTGGAAGCAACCTAATGTCCATCACCAGGAGACAGGCAAACATACTGGTACACGCATGCGACGGAACAGGACTTGGTGACAGGAGGGAACATGAGCAGTGGATGTGCAGCAATGGGAATGAAGTTGAAAAGCATTGTGCCAAGTGAAATAGATGGGTACCTGCCACTGACGTGACATGCTGGAAAAGACAAAACTATAGGGACAGCCAAGGCCTGAGTGCTAGGAGAAGAGATTTACTGAAGAGTGGCACTAGGCAACTTTTTGGGGTAATGGAAACGTTCTCTAACTTGGTTGTGCTTGCATGATTGCAAACATTTGACAAAACACATCCAACTGTATACCTAAAAAAGATGAAATTTACTGCATGTAAATTAAATCTCCATTTAGAAAAAGTAAATGCACTCCATATAAGCACAGAAGAGTGTGCCAATCATTTCCTGTCAAAAATGCTGTGGAGCACTCCTAAATTCAGTGGGCAGTTACATCATTTTCTCTCTACAGACTCTTAGGACTCTAATTATACAATATTATGACTCTTTTCTTCATCTTTAGGTATTCAGACCAATTCAGTGACTTATTTTTCACATCTGAAAACAAACCTGATCTGTCCAGTGTCATATTTATTTTCTAGATATAATGAAAATTATATCTAATATAAACCTTATGGTTTATATAATCTTCTGAAGTATAATAAGTACAAAAATCATAAGGCTGAACTGTCTTTTACTTCTACATTTTACTTTTACTGTTGTTACAGAAATGAGAAGGCTGGCCAGGTGTGGTGGTTCATACCCATGATCCCAGCACTTTGGGAGGCCAAGGTGGGAGGACCACTGGAGCCCAGGAGTTCCAGATTAGCTGGGGCAACATAGTGAGACTCTGACTCTAGTTAATAAGAAAAAAAAAAAAAAAGGAAAGAAATGAGCAAGGCTAATTCAAAGGGCAAGGGATATTCAGAAAGGCCAAATATGTATCAATCAGATACCTAAAAAGAATGAAATGCAAATTATCTAAAGCTGAAGATGGGCTTCTACCAGGCTGGGCTTAGTGTTACATCTGTGGGAGACACTCGCTGATGTCTGTATTGACATTTGTGACATCGGAGGCGGTCGCTGGTGTTTGTATTGACATTTGTGAATGCAGGCTACACAGTGTTTAAGGACAAGCTACCTCTTGAATGAATGTGGCTTTATATAAAAATGGGGATGCTGATCGTCCACTAGGTGGCTGTAATTGTGGTCAATCAACACTGTTCCTTAGTTTCTACTTATCCTTCAGTTACACTAGAGCTGCACATTTGTTTTTGGCTCAGTTTGTGTGTGTGTGTGTGTGTGTGTGTGTGTGTGTGCACGTGCATGCACACACATGCGCTACAGTATCAGCCGAATGTGAGAGACCTACAATACTTTTCCACTAGGCCTGAGTGATCTCATGGCTAAAAAGACATCGTAGGAGTGGATTTCAAGGTATTGCTTGTTTAGATGGATTCTGTGTGTGTGAGTGTGTGTGTGTGAGAGAGAGAGTGTGTGTGTGAGAGGTAAGAAGAGACGGAAAGTGCATGTGTGTGGACAACAGTGCTAGCTCTTTTATGGTTGAAGAAAGGGGGGAAACCCTACAGCTTTTCCTATGGTCGTTAGTGTCTTCTTTTTCATAATAATAACTGGCAATCACTTAGGAACGTGGTAAGGCTTTTAACTATCAATAATGCTACCCTTTCTTTAAGAATGTGATTTTATGTAGACATTAAGACTCAGGCAGATCTAGCTTAAAATCTACGTTTAGCCACTAACTAGCTACATATGCCTGGGCAGCTTGTCCACCTCTCTAAGCTTCAGTTTCTACGTCCATTGCACAGGGCACTGACACCTTGCGGGATACTGCGAGTATTAGGAACAGACTGCACCAAGTGCCCCGTAGTGCATGCTTGGCCTGTAGCAATGCTTAACACGGGGAAGAACCCTTGTTCTTCCTTCCCTTCAGAACTGCTTGCCACCAAAGTAATTGCAGCTTCTGAAAAAACAATTCCTACTTCACGAGCAGGACACAGCATTAGTAACAGTGCTGGCCGGCATCACACGTGGAGCTCTACCGTTCTCCATGTGCTTTGTCACAGCATGTTTCAAAGCTGTTTTTCACAAATTAGAATGTTGTTTAGAAGTCTGGATTAGAAGTATTAGAAAGAGTGTAAAAAAAAACTTACTGAATTTTTAGTTAATTAACTGTAGCAGCATCCATATAGGCTAATTTAGATAGTTTATCTTTTAGGAAAAGAGTTACGCAGTGGGCAACTTTGTGTTCCAACTGGCAAAGAGGGTCTATCTGCAGAGTATCACATACACACACTCAGCTACAAGTTATTAATGAGCTCAGAATGCCTAATGGTTTGATTATGTTGCGGCTGAAACCACGTGTAGCCAATTCAACCTCAACAAGTATAATACATAAAGATGTACTGTAAATGCGGAACACACTGACAAGATATTAAGAATATAAAGGTATATTCCACTTGATAAAATTTAGAGGAAGACAGAATCTTCCACCCCATTTTGAACACAGATCAATACCCAGTATCTTTTTTTAGTATATTAAACATGGGGAATCAACCCGTAGCCACTCAATTGAAATAAAGTTCTCGTTATATGACTGTTCCCTATCAATATCCAGTATCTAATATCAACAGCCTACTCACACTTCAGCCTGGACTTTAGGCTCCGAAGAAGCCCAAATTGGCAGCATTCTCATGACTGTGACAAAAATTCCTTTAGGCAGGAAATGCACATCACTCCACGTGATCAAAGCTACTTCATCCCAGTTCACATGAGCTATCTGAGGGATAAAATGCAGCACAGAATTTTGGGGGCAGATGTCAATGAATGACATGGTGTGAAAAATGGGCCTCTGTTTATAGGAAGTTAAAGGCCAAACGTTCTAAATGAAAGAACCAGAGAGAGAGACCAACAAGGTAGCTGTGAGCACTGCAGAACCATTATCGGCACCTCTCTCTGTCATACCCAGCCAAATTCAACTGCATACAACTCATTTCCATAGCTTGAAAACAAGAAATTCCGCTTATGAGAAAACTGAGATTGAACCAAAAAAAAAAATTCTCTAGGGAAATGTATAAAATTGAGCTTTTTCTTTATGACTATGATTTTGAAACTATAACCTGCATTAACTCAAATTACTATCAAATGCCTGAAATAAATTGTCAGGAAAGACTCTGTAATGGATTAAAAAAAAAAAAAAAAAAAAGCTTGGCCCCTGTGCTTAGAAATAGGCTGAGAGATAATCTGCAAAACTCAAAACTTTCAAGTATTCATAAGATATTTAAAAAAACATTTAAAACAAATGATTTGACAGCTGCAAATGCAGGATAACACCTAGCTGAATTATGGAAACAGTGTGGATAATTACTTTTTTCAAACGTTGGGGCTCTGTGGACCAAGGTCCTGTCTGAATTTCCCTGCAGCACCGTTACTGTGCAGTAATACAAGTCCTGTTGTCACAGCAGCCTCAGTCTCTTTATCATCCACACATCAGTAAGAATGATGAGACACGTCCCATGATTCTAGCAGTCTTCCTTTGAAGGATCCACACGTTAATTACTGCACTAATTATGGTTTTTGAATAACTAAATGAAGTAAGCAGTCTATGGAGGTACAGGCATAAACCTAAGACTGAGAAAATACTAGTTACTGAAATCATCAGTGTAAACTGACACATCGAACAGGTTTAGAAGAAGTGGAAGCGGTAGATTTTAAAAGACAAGCATCTTAAATAATTAGGGCTCCGTAAGGCAAAAAGAAATGTTATTTCTTAATGGCAAGTGCATTTAAACTGTTATCTAAAGATGTGAAGGTAAGCCTGCTTAATTCACTGCTTCTTCTTTTGTTATTAGGAAAACATAATTGTTCCAAATAATTAGCACTAGAGTACATCACAAGCTGACAACAAAATTATAGAAATCTTCATATTCAGATCCGTCTAGCTGGCTATTAGGAACAGTTTCTGATCATAACCCATTAGTTGAAGTGCTGCGAGTTCTTGATTGCCACCAAATAACCTCAGATATCTGCCTAAGTTAACAGCCCCTGTTTATTCAGAGTTTTCTTGACAGTAAAAACTGCTTAGGATTTTTACAGCTGCCACACAAAGGAACAGTATTCCATGTGTATGCTTGGAAGATTAGGTGATACAGTAATTGAAACATGGATTTTAAATACACGTTTAACTCCTAAGTTTCTAAGCGAACCCCTGAAAAGGCACTTCTCCATTGTTAATGGTGGTGTCATTCTGTTTCTTAGAAACTGGCCCCATTTCATGTCTTTTGATGTCCATGTTAATTTTTTGTTCTTGCATGGTGCTTCCCTTCCTTTACACAGTATCACCTTTTCGTTGTCCCTAACACTTAATAATTGCTAGATATGACATTTCACACTTTTTATTATTGATAAAATATTCCCCCTTATGAACAATGTCAGGTGTACACTTTGGCTTCCTGCTAACCCATTTTAAACTAGCTAACTAGCATTCTGTGAGGCTAAGAAACAAAGGAGTACAAGGTAGTTTTAAAGACAGTCAATCCAATTACCTGCTTGCCAGAAATCGCTGTATTCACCTCCCGTGGAAAAAAAAACCTCAGACACTATGGGGAAGTTTCTGCTTTGTTGGTTACCCATCCAGCTCCTGGGAGCAGCTTATTGACAATGTAACATGTGGCCAATGAACATGGGTTTAAATAATCTAACAATTTTGTAATCGGTAATGCCATTTGAAGTTACTCTGGAAATTCTTCTGTGCTAACAGCTTAGCTGATAAACCCACAAAGCTTTATGTTTTATCCCATGAGGGATAACTTTGATTACTCTGGTAATTAATGATGTTGGAGAGTAATATGGATTTTCTGTTAAGATTTGAGTTTGAAGTTAATTAGTCTTCACGTTATGATTTGCTGATTAATTATGGATATTTAGTTATAAAGAGAGATGTTAATTATTAATCTCAAAAAAATCATCTAGTGTAATTAACTAAAACTTTGACATCAGTTAAAATTCCCAATGAGTATAACTTCTAAGATTATCAATTACCAGGGAAGAGCAATGAGCACGTGCCCCCCTGAGAAGGGACACATTCTCTGCTCATACAGAACACACTTGAGCCAAACTGTCATGCAAGGGGCCTGCCGAGTTTCTGTACAGAAATGGAACTGTGTCAAGGCACAGATCGCAGTCTTTCATGGCAAATGCTCAGTGTGAAAAATCTTATCTCAGAACAATGTGCTACGAAAGAAATTCCAGCGCGAGCATTACCTTGGTGTACTGTAAAATAATGTCTTAACCTTTGAGCTGTAATGTTCCCTTGAGACGGACGGGCTTCATTAGCTCTGTGGAACTCTGAAATGAACTTCAGTGTTGCTGCAGATATCTTTATTTTCGGCGGCGGCAGCAGCTTTTGGCGCCATCGAGACAAGACCGCAGCACAGCACTAATTAGTGTTCTAATTCATAGAACTGGAAATCACCTTTGCGGTTACAAAGTTTTTTTCTTCATCTTTCCCCCTAGTCTGTCAGCAACACAATCTTTGCTACCAAAAAGGGGAGGGGTGTGTGATTAAGAAAAAGGGTTAAACCAAAAAGCATCATCGGCACATCACTGTCCTGGAATTTCCCCTGCAACACAGACTCTGAACAGGGATCTGTTTACATTATCTCTAGATCATCTTGACAATATTTATTCTCTATTTACCTAAATGAGGCAATATGATGATATTTATTGCTCAGAATGGCTAAATATAGACTTTTCTTGAGCACTCAGTACCATAGTGGGAGGCTTTGCTCTAATCTACATCTTTAAACTGACAAGCTGGAGAATTCCTAATGAATGCCTCTTTTCATCTGGATGTCTGTGTGTATTTGACAGTATAAATATTTAGCAATATCGGAGTCAGCTTGTGATTTTACCCAGATGGACTGATTGATGCCTCAGCTCGACGCTGCCAAAGACAATCCGCGTAGTTCTAGAAGCAATTTCCCTCTTCCTTCCTAAGAAGCAATTAGATGGCCAAAGGCAGCAACCCCAAAAGAGTGGAAATACTTCTGGTATCAGTTGACAACTCTGAGGGATAAATAAAATATGGTACTTAAATTATTACCACTTTGCTTTCATGAATCACGGGATTAAAGCTTTCACTTCTAAAGTACATATAAATTGCAGGGTTTCTTATGTCTGTAATTTGCAAGAATCTAAGTTAAAATACCAGCTAATCAGTCAACTCACATTCACCTTGGAAAAAGTACCACCCTTTCTTGTCATTTTTGTACATTGCATGCCTAAGTATCAATGTTATTTTGAGAAGAAAAGTCGCTTGTTGTCAATAACACATATTGCAGTCTAGTTAAAACAACATTTGTTAAGATTTAATCGCAAATGTAATCGTCCTTTAAAGTTTAGACAGAATGCTCAGAGAAATTCAAGGGACAGATAATAAATCATTTTCCTCATCTTGGGTGTGAACAAGGTAGGTCTGATTCTTTCAGGTATGTTGTTTCACAACAAATGGTATGAATTCTCTCCTGTGAGACATCCAATGAGGGCACCATGCTCAGTCAGGGACTGTCAGGTCACACTTCCCTCCATCCCTAAATCATACTTTTTTTTTTTCCCTGTGAACATCGTTTTATTTTTGTAAATCACAGTGAAAATGAAATCAAAGAATTATACTATTTTGCTCATCACTACTGCAATACATCTGCAAAGGTTGAAAAGCTCTTGCTAAAACTTAGAATGGGTTTTCAGAACTCTCAGTATCACTTTTGCATAAATATCCTCTGTTAAGCCTCAGCTTTACACAGTGAAGGATGACTACAATGATTACATCAGGTGCTTTTATGCATTCAACTGCTTTGGGAGAAAAAAAAGACACGTTATTTTTGGCACCAGCAGAAGTCATGTATTTCTGCAATGTTGTGGCTTCGCCCACCTCTCACCCATTCCTGCCACCTCTGGTTTCTTTGTTTTCTATTAACTCATCCCAATCTTTGTATAACCTATGCAATAACCTAGGAGAAAGGGCAAGCAAGACATTATTCTTCTTGACACTAATACCTATAGATCCTATTCTACTGTGATACCTCTCCCTATCACAAGATATCTCAGCTAATGGAATCCTCAGAAGTCAAGAACTGGCATTTGCAATGTATTCCAGAGGCGAGGCGGACGCAATGCCCATTGGTAATCAGATACACATGAGATTTCACTGGGATGAGCTGTCTAGCTGTAATGCACAGGAGCTCTTCTAGCTGCAGGACGTATCAGCCACTGCTCCTTCCTGTGCATGGCAGTTTCTCACCTTTAAAAACATTATTCCATGACTGCTGGCTGGCAGATAAAAATACACATTTCTGGTATTCTGTTTATTGGATGTGATTAGTAATATATTGGTTATTGACCAGATATAGAGAACGAGACCCTGAGGTCCATTCTATTGGTATCTACCTATTCCATTTGCCATACTGAACGTCAATCATCATCACTAAACCGTTATTTGCTTTGTTTCCTGATATGACAGGTAGAAGTATCGTAATAAAATGATGGAATGATGGGAGAAGGCCCCTGATGTCATTTCTGGACTCTAACAGGTATCTCACTTTCTCATAATTGTTAAAAGAAGCTCTGTGTTCAAAGACGAATCCTGTGTTTGGTGAAAGGGTAATGAAAGCAGGGTAACAGAGACAAACTTTTGAATGGCCAGCACTGTGTTTCTGCCAAATCTGTCATTGGAATGGGAAGATGCAAAACACATGCACACTCATCAGCCAAAACGGTGTGCTCACTGCTTAATTTCATGGCATTCAGCTATAAATTACATGAGAGCTGCCACAACTAATTTTTTCAGTGCCGTATTAGATGACAAATGAAATGTCCAAGCAGCTACAAGTGAAAAGCTTCCATCTTTCTTTCATGAGTGAATATTATGTACTTACTTTAATGATGTATAATAGCCTGCAACTACACTTAACTTGTGCATTAAATGGCAGCACAAACTGTTTACCTAGAGTTATGAAGAAGAAAACAGCAAACCAAGCGAGGAATCTAAAGTGTATACATTAACCTCCCACATGTCAACTTAGTTTCCCCCAGAGATGATGTATGACTGAAACTCTAAATTGTTTTCTCTTCTACACAATAGCATTATGTGCCAAGTATCTAAGCACCAAAGTATGTGGGATAAAATGATGACAAAATGTACCTAATTAATAAATCTGAAAATATTTAGAACTAAACCATTTTTTGGTTTTGTTAATGACCTTGTACCCACAAACAATAATCACTACATCCTACCAATGAAGCCTGATTTAAAAAAAAAAAACCCGCCGGGCGCAGTGGCTCACGCCTGTAATCCCAGCACTTTGGGAGGCCGAGACGGGCGGATCACGAGGTCAGGAGATCGAGACCATCCTGGCTAACATGGTGAAACCCCGTCTCCACTAAAAATACAAAAATTAGCCGGGCATGGTGGCGCGCACCTGTAGTCCCAGCTACACGGGAGGCTGAGGCAGGAGAATGGCATGAACCCGGGAGGCGGAGCTTGCAGTGAGTCGAGGTCGCGCCACTGCACTCCAGCCTGGGCGACAGAGCGAAACTACGTCTCAAAAAAAAAAAAAAAAAAAAACCCAACACAGAGAAAAGAGAAATGAAGTTATTTTGGTATAGATCAAAGACCAAGAAAGACATTAAATATACTCTTTGAATAGATACTTACCAAATGTACTGAGAATATGCTTAACCATCAGTCAACCTCTGATCAGATCTACATATGCTTTCACAGTGTGTAGAGTAGAATTACAGAACGCTGATATGTGTGTATAACACAGCTTGGTTTCATGATGCACAAGGCCATTTAAAATAGTTTCCAAGAAAGTAAAGATAAACTCTGATTATCAGGATTATGGAAAATACGACTTGACTAGTCATTATAGCTCTTGCCATCTTATCACATTAGATAAATATGAAGAAAATATAAAAATAATACATTTTCACTATAAATATTAATCATAAAGTTTAATGCGATTATTTTTCAGAGGGTCAGGGAAAGGAGAAGGGAAGAGGGCACAATTTCTTATCACTGTTTCTTTTAAAGATGATATATCCCACGGGAAGCCATTGACAGAAAAACTGAAGACAGGAAATTCTCTCCTTCTGAAGCAAGTTTTGGAGAATCTGATTAGGTCTCCCGCTGCAATGCTAGGTATTCCATTTTTGCCAAAGGGCCAGCTATGATGATTAACGTCATTTGTCTGAATCATTACTCTGCACCTTGGTTCAGCAAACACTATGAAGATGGCATGGTAATAAATGACCGCAGGATTCTTCCCTGCTTTGGCCTCTTTTTATCTGCCACCTCTCCACCGTCACCTCCATCTTTCTGAACCTCTCTGAATCCCCACAAGGGACGGAGTGTCTATTTGTTTTCCACTAGGTTACCACTCTGTCTATTGTTGTTTGTACTAAAGGGTACAAATTCAATTCATTCTTGTGACATAAAAGCACCGATACAGTAAATTTTTCGCCCAGGAGAAAACAAAAACGAAGTTGCTGAATATAGAACAAGATTTGAAGCACTAGCATATATGTGGAGAGGCTTTCCGAGCATTCTTAGTTATCTAATACTATCTTCCCCCCATTCTGAGCACGCTTAGTTACCTAATACTATCTTCCCCCCATTCCGAGCACTCTCAGTTATCTAATACTATCTTCCCCCCATTCCGAGCACTCTAAGTTATCTAATACTGTCTTCCCCCCATTCTGAGCAGTCTTAGTTATCTAATACTGTCTTCCCCCTATTCTGAGCACTCTTAGTTATCTAATGCTATCTTCCCCCCATTCCGAGCACTCTTAGTTATCTAATACTATCTTCCCCCCATTCCGAGCAGTCTTAGTTATCTAATACTATCTTCCCCCCATTCCGAGCACTCTCAGTTATCTAATACTATCTTCCCCCCATTCCGAGCACTCTTAGTTAACTAATACTATCTTCCCCCATTCCGAGCACTCTTAGTTATCTAATACTATCTTCCCCCCATTCTGAGCACTCTCAGTTATCTAATACTATCTTCCCCCCATTCCGAGCACTCTTAGTTATCTAATACTGTCTTCCCCCAATTCTGAGCAGTCTTAGTTATCTAATACTGTCTTCCCCCTATTCTGAGCACTCTTAGTTATCTAATGCTATCTTCCCCCCATTCCGAGCACTCTTAGTTATCTAATACTATCTTCCCCCCATTCTGAGCAGTCTTAGTTACCTAATACTATCTTCCCCCATGTCTCCTCCTGGCGAGGACACCCAGTATGCTAAATGCGTATGAAGCTTTCCAGTTAGTGGGCAGGGGGAAAACTCTGATCGTGCAGCCAGTCCAAACCAGAGGCTGGGGCACTGTACACCTACCTTAGAGTCGAGAGAAGAGAGAAGGTTGGTGGGCTATAAGGTTAATATGTCAAGAGATTTCAACTTTTGAACACAACAAAAGCATAACAACATCAAATGGTCTGTGGAGAGTCAAAGTGGACAGCTGAGGGCAGTGCACAGTCAACATGGAAAAGCAGGGAACTTGGGATGAAGGAGCTGAGGGCAGCCAGCAGGTGAAATTCCCTGAGTGTCAAGTTCGACACTATTTATCCCTTAATTCTGGGAAGCAACTGTGTTATCTAAGCAAGTCAACACATCGGAACAGCCCCCAGATCGCAGTCTCATTGTGCATCAGGTGACACATTCCGTGTGACACGGAAAAGCTTGTTTGACGGACAGCCTTAGTGTGGCAGGGGAACCAGAAGAAAACCAACCCCTCAGTGTGGGGGGAGCTCTCGGGTCCAGGCGTTTAGAGTGTGATTCCGCTGGTCTCTACTTCTATTCTGGCTTCTACTTACGATAGAAAGTTTCATGCCCTAAACTATGTAAACACTCCATGTTTTGGGGAATTTAAATTATGTAAATATCTTAGAGCTTGCTTAGCAGTAACTTTTCTTTGCCAAGGGTAACATGTTTTCCTGGATCAGCTGCTAAAAATTGCCAAGTGCTGTAAACCCTAAAGAGTATTGCCAAGTACCTTTCTCACTCTGGGTCCAAGTCTCAAAAAACACTTAATACAAAATGAATCTGAAATCCTGTAATTGCCCACAATTCCTGGAACATTACCTTGTGTACAACTTTGGTTATTATGAAAATGCTCCATATTCCTGCCAGAAGTTAAGAAGTTACGACTTGAAAATCACTGGCTAATCTAGCCTGTGCTAAGATGGATTTTTAATGAAAGTTTAATGAATGATAAATACTCGTTTCTTGATAAATGTTTAATTATGCCAATAATTACCAACTGCTGAAAACTACTGTTGTGTTAATAATGGCATTTAGTACACAAGCAGTTTCATGAGTCACAGTGCTGTTAAAGATCAGAACTCCATCTGTCTAACGCAAACTAGCAAAACAAAAGTCTAATTAATATTTTGATCAATTTTCCTCACACTCTAAAGACTATCAATGTCCTTTACATAAAAAAAAGACCCATTTTCTCTTTCACGGGTAAAAGGTAAGGAAAACTATTCAGAACCAGTATAGGATTAGTTCATGCAAAAAATCAGTTAAACAAAAGAATAGAAAATGGATATTATTGAAATCCAGTGATTCTATTACCTCATTGCATTATCACTTTAATGACTGTTTTCCTGTTACCTGAAGCTGTTTTAAATATGATGACCATTATATTACTGAATAGCACAGGAAGCTGAACTCCCCTTATTAATCAGCTCCCCTGGCCCTTTACAGGTGATTATGAGGTCTGCAATCTGTGTTGTTATTACATGAGTGTGAGGTCTTGCAGGTGAGTGAACTGCTGCTATGTGTATGGGGGAATGACACCTGCTGCTATGTGTGTGGGGGCATGCCACCTTTCAGGTCTGCAAACACCCATGGCCCAAGAGGGTTATAAACTGACCTTGAATAAACAGGATTTATTAATGACTGGGAAGTCATTGTGCTTTAGTGGGACTCGGTGTAGAAAGCCCTGCTTTTCTGGCATGCAGTCACTCCAGTGGGTGAGTTGTCACGTTTGGGAACACGACACGGGGGTAGAGAATGGAGAGGGTGGTAAAATCTCCCTTAGACAGCAGCAGGGTGGGGGCTGGGGCCCGTTAGTCAGGGCTCTTCCTACCCCACTGTCTTCTCGGAAGGCCTTCCCTACTCTGTTAAAATGAGAGTGGGTCTCAGAAGCACGCCCAGCATGGGTCCTGCCACTCCTAAATGCCTTCTGTGGCCACTACTTCCAGCCGAGCCCGAGGGCAAAGACTGCTCTTCCTTGCACTTATGTGGCCTCTAGTATGTCACCTGGCCAACAGCACACAGTCAAAGGTAAGTTTGCTGCACTGAATATACTTCTAAAGCATTTCTTTTTCAATACTTTATCAGCCTGCAGAAATTTGAGAAATGTGGCATGTATAATAATTCCCTGGCTAACAATTCATTTCTCCAACAATTCACATTTTAAAAGCAAACCAAATTCTGCAGATAATTCTCAATTATATTTCAGACAGAATCTGTGAAAGCCATAATTTAATCCACAGTGTGATTTATGGAGATATAATCTCAATCCTTTAGATAATAATGTATAATAATAATGTATAATACCTTTCAACTGATAGAAGTGAAATCTAATGTATAGCTCTGATTGTTGCTGGGAGCTATTAAATCCAGTGAAGTTCATGGACAAAATTTTTAAATTTCCAATGTGAAGATTCACAATTCAGGCAGATGAATAAACTTGGTATGATCATGTTTTTTCTTTTAATACTCTATGACCACCCAGCCCCAAAGATCATGTGACCTTTGAAATGAACTTTCCTCCCAGGAAAACTTGTTTTATATAACTCTTAATTGGACTATATATACTTAGAAAAAGCTCTTCAATATTTTCTTGTTGCCATTTGCACACATTTACAGGAAACCTCTTCCCCATATTTTTAATGTAATGCTCATGATTGGTCATCACACACGTTCTTCATAACGTTTCTGAAGCGAAGCAGCCTCTGTTGCAAGAATTCATCCTTGATTTTTCTGTTTTCTTATGGACTTTGAGTTTGAAGCTATTTCTTGTCACCACAGTTGCAGCTGTATGACATTCTAAGACATCCGTTCACTGTACTCACGCATGTTGACAATGGTTTGCACAAAAAATGCAGCAAACCACAGAAACCAGTGATAAGTCACATGCTACAACTAGCACCTGCACGAGCTGAAGAAACGAAGCACTTCCTGCCCCTGCGCATGCCCTGCGCATGCACACGCACGCACACCCACGCACACCCAGGCACACACACCCATGCACACATACGCACACACACGCACGCACACACACTCCGCCCTGAATGAAGGTGGTGAGCGTGCTCCCGCATCCCATGCCCAGGGTGGCATGGAAACTGTGCAGTGAGAACGAACACCCATCCTGCCCTGACAAACAGCTACCAGCTACTAGCACTTCCTTAGTGGAGAGAGAAGAGATCCAGGAGTATGAGAGGAGTCTTGGTAACTCCTGCTCTCTGGAACAAAACTGCACATGCCACTGCTTCTGGGTTAACGTAGAAAGAGGTTAACCAGGCTATATAAAACACTCACAAGAAATAGCACTGAGCTGTAATAACATAACACATTGTTTCAGAATTCCTATCTTTTGAAGGGCAACAGTTCTATGGAAGCATCTTCTGAACTTTACCTTATTCACCTGCATGCATTTGTACGTCTGTGTATGAACAAACAAGCAGAACATGGAAAGCATAAAATTTTGGCAATGAATTTTCAGGTCAAACTAAAAGAAACCCTATATTATGTGCATTTTGAGAAAAGGGCCAGTCTTTATTCTGATATCTGAGATGTTAGCTGTGCTAATTTTATTCGTGACTACAACAAAGGCACCTGAACATACAGCAGAAGGATATTCTGTGGGCAGAATATCCCGATACAGATTTTCAGCTATTCTAACAAAATAAAGTGTCTGATCTAAAAGTGAAGTCTAATGTAAGAGATGGGTGCATCACGTATAAATCATCCATGTTCGCAGATGCAGAGCCCTCCTTCTGCCTACTTCAGGAGACAGACACAAATGTAAAAGATAGGATGGGACAGCTTTAACAACGTATGTCTATATGACACGGGAGCATACACCCTCGAAGGCACAGAGGCTTGTAATCTCTTGGGTTCTCGCATTGTTCCTGTAGGAGTACTTGCCTCTCAAGGGCAGGCCCACACCCTGCCCTTCTATCTCAGTACCTAGCGGAATTCCCGCACATTGACGTTCAGTGTTTCTAAAAGTTGGTCTGAGGCCCAGTGGCATCAGAGTCACTTAGAGGTATTTGTTTAACGTATATTTTAAGTCTGTTAGGAGCTGAAATGTGTCCCCTCAAATTCCTGTGTTGAAGTCCTAACACCCAGTACCTCAGAATTTAACTGTCTTTGAAGACAGGGCCTTTAAAGAGGTCACTAAGGTAAAATGGAGGTCATTCTGAGTGGGCCCTAATCGAATGTGACCAGGGTCCTTACAGGTGGAGATCAACACATAGGACACAAGAGGGAAGGCCACGTGAAGACACAGGGAAGACGGTCATCCACCACCCAAGGAGAGAGGACTCAGAAGAAGCCAGTCCTGCCCAACACCTTGGTCTCAAACTGGTAGCCTCCGAAACGATGAGAAAATAAATGTCTGTTGTTTAAGCCGCCCAGCCCATGGTGCTTTGTTACGGCAGCCCTCGCAAACTGACACAGGGCCCTGCCCTAAGAATTCCCAGAGTGAGGCCTAGAAATATGTAGTTCAATGAGCGTTCATGTTTTATAAAGAAAACACAGTTTTGAATGAGTAAATACTCAAAATTGGAATCTTCCAGGACTGCAGTGGCCCAGCAGAGGACAGAACAGACAGAACTGCTCATCACGTCTCTGCTACCACTGCCTTGTGCTCACATTACCATTGCCACGGCACAGTGCAGCAGCGTGTTCTCTCACAGGTTCTACAGGAAGGAGGTGTGGAAAGTACAGGCTCATTCTGACCATGTCTCGTGGGCAGTAGCTACAGCTGACCATCTCTTTCTTCTGGAAGCCCACTGTTTCCTTCACTTCTTTTATACTGCTCCCTCTCATTTCCTTCTGTCTCACTGGCCACTCCTTCTCGTACTCCTGTGCTGCCACCAGCCTCTGTCTGACCTTGAACTCTGAACCCTCTCTTGTCTCTCCTCACACTCCCTCCTAAGATGACCTCCTCCTAAATCTGCTGTTTGCCCCAAATCAGAGAATTAGAGATCAGATGGCAACAACACTTGCACATAGCTCAAGATGGAAACTTAGTAGTCCTTCCTCATTGACCAATGCTCCCTCCCTACCTTCCATATCCAACCCACTAACAAGTTCCACCACCTCTGTCTCCAAAATGTATCCTACATCCTACTATTTGCACTAACTCCATGGCTACACTCTTAGCCTAGACCACCTGTATCTCTGTCTTCCTGATCGCAGCCAATATCTCCTAACTAGTCTCCTAATTCTACCTTCCGTCCTCCCAAACCATCCTCCATAAAGGAGAAAAGGGTAAATTCTTAAAATTAAAATTTGTTCTTGGAATCCCAGGGATGAAAACCCACAGCTCTTCCCATTGCCTATGCACCACCCTCTTCCTTGCCTCCTTTTGGCCACACTGGTTGGCTCACTTGTTGCCTTGAATGTGCCGCACAGCTCACTCTGCAAAGGTCTCCGTGCTCAGTCTTTTGTCTGAAATGCTTTCAAGCTCTCATCTCCGTGAACAGCTTGTTCCCTGTCTTCCTCAGACAGCACTTCCAGAATGAAGGTACAATACAATCCCCAGTTCCTGCACGAGTGTCTGTGACTCTCCATCGCAGGCCACATACTGCTTTCTTTGACTCATGGCCTTGTCGTAACTTGCAGTTATTTTACACCTATTCATATGTAGAATGCAAGCTCTGTGAGGGCAGGATGACAGTGTTTACTGATGTAGTCCTGTACTTCACACAGGGACTGACACCCAGCTGATGCTCCACAAATGTCTGTTGAGTTAATGGATGAACCACTGTAGCTCAACTTGATCAGGGCTGAGGGCACGAGGTTCTGAAGAAGCAGTCATCGACTTAGGCAAGGAAATCCTTTCATCATCCGGTATAATCTATGCTCAAAGTATTTAGTGAGGTGTGCATGTGGCCAATCACATACCATTAATAAACACGGCAGTTATTTGGAAACAACAGTAGCAGAATCAACATTACTACCTCTTGAACTGCGTTTCCAAATGGTTTGTAAGAGTTGCTGGTCACTGAAAATATCTTGGATCAATGGGTTACTGAATCAAGCTGTACTAGTTTGAAAGAGTTCCAAATTTACAGAATTGTTTATTCTTGTGTTTCATATAACAAATTTTATTGAAATTATGGATGCAATTAACAGCTATGTCTTCTGATATGGTATTACTAATGGATTCTACCCTACCAATGCAAAATTTTCACTTGACATTCTTCAGGGGATAAGATGTGTGCAAATAATAAGAAATTCAAAAATCTGGATTATTATCCATGACTCAGAAGATTTTGTTATAAAGGAATTCTGTGGGATTATGCCAGTTGATGCTAAGTTTTCAATAGTTTATTATCTTTGTCTATGAGTACTAGTAATGCTTTTCATTCTAATATTAGGACACACTCAATGTGGAGATTAGCAAGATTAAAGAGATTTTAGGTAAACATTTTTGGGCATCTGTCGTATATTACAATATATTAAAAAGTTCCTTTGTCGTCGTCTCTTGACTTAACAGAATATTGTCGCATTTTCTGTTCAGGCAAGACAGAAGTGCTCATCTTCCCCTCACAGCCCATCTGGTTTTTGCCCAAGCTGCCTGCAAGACAACACTCTAAAGTGAGAGACACCTTCTACGTAGTGGATGTTGATTCAATTAACGCCGTGTTATTTATAACAAACTGAAAACCTTACAGATCTCACCAACCATATAGGATAATCACTCTTCACTGAATACAACTAAAAAAAGAAGTATTTGAAGAACATCCAGGTTTTGCTAAGATCTCATTTAGGAGGCCAAAGGGGAACACGCACACTTGGCAGCATAATGACTAATTACTACGTTCAAAGGGTGAAAAAGCTGAAGAAACATCAAGGCATCTGTATCATCATACTATTCTGAGTAAGTGCCACAAGTAGCATTAGGAGAAGCCAATTTTAAAAGCAGCTCTTTGTTCCCCCATACCAAACAAACTCTTCAAAGAAACTGCTTTTATAACACACAAACAAAATGCTTTCATATAATGCCTTTTGGGGAGAGGTGGTGGGGAAAAGGTGGGAAGGGAAAGGAAACTAGTGGTGAAGAGTGTGAAGTGAAATGTTGTACACATTGCACAGACCTGCTCCTCCAAAATCAACATGGAGCACACCACGTGAGCTGCCACATTTATAACCCTATGCTGATATTCAAATTTTCTGTCTTAAGCTAAAGAAAGATTGAATACCCTGCTGTTGTGTGGCCAAGATTGAAGAGGTGTCTCACTGACATTGTTCAAAGTTTATGAAAATATATGAATGCTCAAATGTCATTGGCTTTGCGCCTCCAACAGACTGTGGTTTTATGAGAAATCAGTCTTTTAATCAAAATGATTGAATACCTTAAGGTCGAATCCAAAGATATCAGTTAATATCTAGAAACGTGCTATTTCTGCAAATTTTGCCAAGCTGTACATATTGTGGTGCATTTTAAAGTGTTAATTTGTGCATTCCATATTGAAAATTGATCTTGAGTTTTAGCTTTTTGTCAAGCAAAAACATATGGTTACAAGCTCTATGCATTTTGCGCGACGGCTGTTGAAGCTGTCACATGTGCAAACTTGATAACCGATGTGACACATACGCAAATAATTTGCTTGTTTAGTAACAATTCAAAGATTCATTATTCATGCAAACACACATTTTTTTAAATGATCAGATGGAAATAGTCTTCGTTTTGTACAACCTAGTCTGGTTGGTGTGCAAACTCAGATAAAATAAAGCTGGGAACTAAGTGGTATTAAAGAAATCCAAGAATATGGGTATTTTCAGATAATTATTGAACCAGATGGTGTTTTTTGTTAATTCTGCCATCAGTCTGAGAACTTGATGTCTTACATCTGCACTTGGTAAAATAAATTTTACCGCTGACATTATTTCAGTTTTCTTAAAATACTTCAATCAGTTTTAAACCAAGATTTGCAAACATCTGCCACAGTGCATGCCTATGAGATGAAATTATTCAAGATAATTCCTTTAAAAATATACACCATTACACAGAGCTTTAAATTCATCACCCTTTAAACTAAATTTTCAGAATTACTAGTTGAAATGTTTAATAGAAAGGAAAATAGGAATAGGATAGCACATTTGAAAATGAACACGGTTAATAGGTCACAAAAAGTGTTGTCTCACTTGCAAAGCCTATCTTGGAATTTCACACCACATTATTTCCCTGTCTTAACAGAGAGAGAAATTCAGTACATTTTTTTCCTGTATTCTTTAGGTAAATTTTCTGTGTGGTGTGATTAAAGGATAGGATTACATAATGAATTAATCAACAGACATAGATGATAAAGGAACAGTATCTGCGAGTAAGTTAATCAGTCCTAACAGAATTCTCCCTCTTAACAAATGAACAGAATTTCAAATACACCCCTGAAACCAGCACACCAGTTTTAGGCTCTTTTTCAGAAACCCAAATAGGAGTTCTTGAAAACATAATTGAAATCCTCCAAATAGCCTAACTTCTTTGGCTTTTCTCTTGAAAGTCTACAAACAAAATCTTAGTTTCAAACTTAATCATGAACTCACATACATTTTGAGGATAAGCTTGAGACTCCCACATGCTCTCCTTTTTCCTTCTTGTTTTCTTCCTCAAACCCAGGCCTCTAGATCGAAACTTGCCCCATAACTTAGCACAGTGCGTTCTGAAGAGGGAGCTCAATATTTGTTGCAGATTGATCAAAACCAACGCACCACAAACTAGTAAAATTACAATGGTAAATAACTGAACTATTTCAAAGTGCAACTACAACAGTAGTACATGAAATAAGCTAAATATAGTAATCTAAAGAAGAGTTTCCCACTTTAAAGTAGGTTCTATTGAATGTGGGGAATGACTAAATTACTCTATACCACCAATACTTGCATTCATGTAGGTGCTCAGATAGCTAGAGTAGCTGACGATTCACAACTATAATTAGAGAAAGCCGACTATAATTAGAGAAAGCTGACTTCCTGCCACTGTGGGATGAAGGAGTGGGTGGTCACGATGAAGTGGTCAGCTGTCGGCAGTTAAATCAGAGGGTAGCTTTGATTAGTTAGCCCCCAAGAATTTGGCTGATTCAGTCTCTGATTTACTTAGACAGGTAGTTATTAAAATTTGCTACCATTAATTACTAATTAACTTATATGATACATTATTAGTTATATTACATGTAATATACATACTATTAATTATAATTAGGATATATCACTAATACCAGTTTATAATAATTATGTCTGTTAATTACAATTAATGGTAGCATATGAATAGTTAATTCAAGGCTTTTTATTAATATATGACATATGCTAAGTGGTAATTTTATTTTATTTTAAGTTCCAGGGTACATGTGAAAGATGTGCAGGTTGTTACACAGGTAACATGGTGTATTAAGCCCAGTATGTAGTAGCTATTTATCCTGATGCTCTCCCTGCCCCCCTACTTCAGACCCCAGCGTGTCTTGTTCTCCTTCCTGTGTCCATGTGTTCTCATTGTTCAGTTCTCACTTGTAAGTGAGAACATGTGGTGTTTGGTTTTCTGTTCCTGCGAGAGTTTGCTGAGGATAATGGCTTCCAGCTCCATCCAAGTCCCAGCAAAGGACATGATCTCGTTCGTTTCATGGCTGCATAGTATTCCACGGTGTACGTGCATCACATTTTTAAAATCCAGTCTATCACTGATGAGCATCTGGGTCAACTCCGTGTCTTTGCTATTGTTAATAGTGCTGCAATGAACATACATATGCAGGTATCTTTACAATAGAACAATTTATATTCTTTGGGGTATACATTTAGTAATGGGCTTGCTGGATCAAATGGTATTTCTGGTTCTAGGTCTCTGAAGAATCACCACACTGTCTTCCACAGTGGTTGAACTAATTTACATTCCTGCCAATAGTGTAAGTGTTCCTCTCTACAGCCTCACCAGCATCTGTTGTTTCTTGACTGTCTAATAATCGCCATTAACTGACATTTGATAATCGCCATTCTGACTGGTATGAGATAGCTAAAATTACCACATGCTAAGTGGTAATTTTTACATGCATTATTTCACTCGTATAGTCTTAGGTGGTACACTCTAATATTATGAGTAAATTCAAGTGCAGAGAGGTTAGGCTATTGCCTTAGGCCATGTACAATGTGAAACAATATCCAGAATTTAAACCCAGCTCTGTCTGAGGAGTGCTCTAAGCCACTATGTGATACAGCAGACTCACAGGTGAATGACAGTCAAAGTGACTGTGTGGCCCCAACCCCTTGATATTTGGGCTACTTTCAGTAAATAGCACTGTGAAAATAGTTCTCTCACTTTCTTTCTCTTGCTCTCATTAAAAGAAAAAATTTAAGGCACCTGATTCACATCATCAAGTTAATGTCCAAAAACTAGGAACCAATGAGCACCATTACCTGCAGCAGATGCACGTTACACCAAGTGTTTATGTATCTTTTATTGTGACTTTGATAGACAAAAGGGTATATCATTTTTTTCTTTTAAAAAAGTTTGCATTTGTTAAGTTACTAGTTATAATAAATACCTTTCCAGACATTTGTTTATAAAATTTCTATTTTCTATTTTATGATTGATCTGCCATCTTTTCTACCTGTTTTTATTGAGTTTGTAGTGTTTTTCCTATTGATTTAATGATAATGAGCTCTTTATATAAAAATATATAAAATTTTAATGTGTTGTTTGAGGACAAAATACTTTCTCAGTATTCTAGTTGCCTTTTTATTCTGGGAACTTCTGACATACAGAATGTAGCTTATATAGTTATATCTATTAATCAGTTATTTTGTTAGTTCTTTTATTCAAATTATGAGAAAGTTCTCTCATCAGAATTTGGTTTAATTTTATTTCCGTATAGAATTTTATAATTAAAAAAATTTAACTCTTTAGTGCATCAACTTTTATCTTTGTGAACTATATCCAATAAGGTTCTAAATAGACTCTGTCAAACTGCTATCCTAGTAAGTCTCACAAAATTTATTAAATATTAAATAATATTTCCCTTTTACATTGACTTGTGAGTCCTCTTTAAGAATGTATAATGGGCCAGGCATGACGGCTCATGCCTGTAATTCCAGCACTTTGGGAGGTGGAAGCAGGAGGATACCTTGATGTCAGGAGTTTGAGACCAGCCTGGCTAACGCAGTGAGACCCTGTCTCTAAAAAAAAATAAAAAATTAGCCAGGTGCTGTGGTGAGTGCCTGTGGTACCAGCTACTCAGGAGGCTGAGGAGGGAGGATCACTTGAGCCCAAGGAATTTGAGGCTGCAATGAGCCATGATTGCACCACTGTACTCCAGCCTGGGTGACAGAGCAGGACCCTGTCTTTATTATTTTTTTTTTTAAAAAGAATGTATAATGTATTATATAAAACACACAAATATAAATACATATATATTCATAGATTACATATAATGGACTCTGCCTGAGGTCAATCTATGTGATGTGTTGCTTTTTTGTACCTTTTTAGAGCTTTGAAATCAGATGTATTTAGCTTTGAATCTTGGTTCTGTCATTTAATAGAACTCAGGCAAGACTCAGTTTTCTCCTCTTAAAAGGGGAGGATGGTATCTACCTCCTATGGCTGGTGTGAAAATGAAATGAGGTGAAATACAGAAAGCCTCCGGGCTCAGTGTCTGGTCTGGAGCACAGTGAGCAATCAGTAATGACACACAGATTGCTCTCCTCCAGCCACGGCCCACTGTCTCATTATTGTACATTTGTTTTCATATCTTCTAACTTCAGTTCCTCTGTTCAGGTTTCACTAGGATGACATCCACAGATTAGATTAGGAAGGAGTCTGTCTTCTCATTCTAAAATGCTGAACACTTTAATTCACTGTCCATATTCCAAAACTTATTTTTTCAAATACAGGAATAAATTTTTTTAAATGGGTATGGACAAAGTTATTATTTATCTTTGTTACAATTGTGAATGGGATTTTCCCATTAGTATTTTTCTAATTGATTATAGCTCTAATATAGAAAGACTCTTCAGTTTTGTATATTAGTCTTATATTCAGCCATTTTACTGGGCTATTCATTTAATAGTTTAAATTCTCACAGAATCTTCTAGGCATAGAAGAAATTATGAGCAGCAGATAACTTTCCTTCTTCCGATAGGAGAAAAATAATATTGGTCATCACATACAATCTTGTTCTTGATTTCCAGGAAAAAGTTTCACATTGTAGTGCCCTTATGTGCAGGGAACACCTTCCGTGAGCCTAAGTGGATGCCTGAAATCACAGATAGTACCAGATCCTATATATATATACACACACACACACACACACACACATGCACATACACACACATATACACATACACACACATATACACACACATATCTATATATACATACACATACACACTATATGCTTTTTCCTACATACACATACCTATGATAAAGTTTAATTTATAAATTACGCACATGAGGAGGTTAGCAATAACTAATAAAATAGAACAATTATTACAATACACCAGCATCATCACTCTTGCACTTTGGGGCTATTACGAAGTAAAATAAGTTTTACTTGAACACAAGCACTGTGACACTGTTACCAGTCAATCTGATGACCAGGATGGATACTAGGTGGTATGGTTTGGCTCTGTGTCCCCACCCAAATTTCAAGTCAAACTTCAATTCCCAATGTTGGGGGAGGGACCTGGTGGGAGGTGACTGGATCATGGGGGCAGATTTCCCCCTTGCTGTTCTTGTGATGAGTAAGTTCTCATGAGACCTGGTTGTTCAAAAGTGTGTATCACCTCCCCCTTCTCTCTCTCTCTCCTGCCACCATGGGAAGGTGTTAGTTTCCCCTTTGCCTTTTCACCATGATTGTAAGTTTCCTGAGGCCTCCCCAGCCATGCCTCCTGTGCAGCCTGTGGAACTGTGAGTCAATTAAACCTCTTTTCCCCATAAATTACCCAGGTTCAGGTATTTCTTTATAGCAGTGTGAGAAGAGACTAATACAGAAAATAGGTGACTAACAGGTGGGGAGCCCTTACAGCGGGGATATTCTGGACAAAGGGATGATTCGCACCCTGAGTGGGAAAGAGTGGGACTAAGAGAGCTATCATCACACTACTAGGAATGGCTTGCAATTTAAAATAATTTAAAAAGCAATTTAAATAACTGTTTCTGGAATTTTCCATTTACTATGTTTGAACCACTGTGACTGCAGGTAACTGAAACTGCAGAAATCACAACCATGGATATGGGGAGGAGGACCACTGCGCACACTTTCAAGTCGCACTGCCAGCTGAATTTGCATTGCCACTGAGTAAAGAAAGTCACTTTCTCGTCCCTGGCTGGGTTCCTTATGGTCACAAAATCTTACCTTAATTTTCTATTATCTGAATTTTATTTTATGTATTCTGTATGTATTTATGTATTTTATATAAGCTACCTCAAATTTTTTGTGGGATAAAGAAAATACATAAACATACTGATTTTCTTCCATTTTTAGGGTCAATAGGAAATGATTTTGTATCCAATATCTCCTTTTGGCATCCTTTGAGATAATTATTTGATCTTCTAATTTAACCTGATGATTAATTGAGGGATTTCTAATACTGTATAGTCTTTTAAATGGGTTTGATCAGATTATTCTATTCCCTGTGTTTTGCTGAGGACCTTCAGGTCTATGTTCTAAGTGGGGTTTATGAAACTGGTAATAGAAAATAATGGAGAGCAGTTAAAGAGTTAATATACATTATTAATATGTGTGCTCTCTACAGGCACACAAAGCCTGTAGACTCAACAAATTTACTCCTGAAGTTTTCCAAATTTGCAAAATCTGCAATTTCTTTGCCACATAAAACTTTCCAGAAATTAAAAAAAGTAAAACAAAGGGTCTCAATTTATTCCTGCATTTCACTGATACCTTAAATTACATAGCTTAACTTCTTTAAAGCACTACATTTTTAGCTGTTATATTAAAATTTTTATTTCAGATTTTTTCTTGATTTGTAAGGTTTGCTAATTTCTACCCAAGTTATCTTAAATTTATTATTTTTTATTTTTCTTGTTTTCTACATCATTTATTTCAGCTGTTACTTAATGACTTTATTTCTCCTTTTTTGTTATGACATTGTGGATTGTTATTCAAAATAATTCAATTTACTTTTACTCCCTTCTTTTTCATTTATAAAATTATTTAAGACTGTGAATTTAGTTTGGAGTTCAACTTCAGACAAATCCCAATCAGTTCTAATATGACATATTTTATCATTAATTTTTTAGTTTTTAATTTTTCATAATATTTAGACTGCAACTGTATTTTTCATTTACTTTTTTCTCCTCCTATTATATAAGTATTTCAATATTTATAGGTGCTTGGGTTTTTTCTTTCCTGTTTAAATTTTTATTATATTTTGAAAATCATGGTTTCCTAAGCTTAGAAATTTTCCTTTAAAGACAAGTATAAGTTCCATGCATTTTCCACAGATACTCGATCATAAAGTTAACACTGTGTTACAAATTTTTCAAAATTAACTATTAATCTATTAATTCCGTTGTTCACATAATTCTATTGTGCAAATATCAATTATACTATTCACAGAAAATGATTTTTCTTCTTTTTGATTTATCATAGATTACTATGGATTAAACTCTCCCACCCAAGAATATTTTCTTTTTGAATTCAATTACAGTTTGCTTAGTGGACCTTTTGCTAGAAATTAGTTAAAAAAACTCAGGTCCTGGCATGTGCTCAGCTGCCACATGGGGCAGGTGCCCACCACTGGACAGTGTAGATAGAAAACAGGTAATTCTACCAGGCAGGGCTCTTTCAGAAGAACAACTTTGGCTATACTAAAAAGAGACAGGAGCAGCACAAGGTCGAAGCAGGAGGAGCAATGAGGAGGCTACCATTATAAGAGGGATGAGAGAAACAGTTACTTGGACCACAACACATGGTGGAAGAAGGAAAAAGTGATCTGATTCCAGATATATTTTGAAGACTGGTGGTAAGCATTTGCTGACAGCCTGGATATGAGCTACTCAGTTCTTCAAAAATGAAGTGTTATGCACCAACCTGATTTCATCAGTCACCGTTAATCACCTTGAGGAATGGCATAGGGTTGGGTGGTTGCTGACTAGCACTGATATCTTGGCTACTCCATACAAATACAGAAAACTTCATCCCTATAAACCTCCCTGCCAAAACATCAGTGGATCCCTAATCCTCCTACAAGACAGGCAGGGTCATGTGGGGATTGGAAAAATTTTTCCACACTTTCCTTAAGCTGACATATATTATTAACCTTTAAAAACTGAGCAATTAACCTGAGAGGTTACAAAGTATCCTTCTAGCAGGTATAGCACATGTGGGTAAAGTGATTATAGCCACTTAATTATGTGAGTACTGTTATCTGAAAGCATTTTGTAAATTGCAAAGACCTTTACAAATACTTGTTATTATTTGTTTTAATTAGTCATAGTAATGGTAAATTTCCTACATGTAATTTTACTGAGATCTCAGACAAAACTATCCATTTTCTTTTCTGAACCTGAAACATAAGCAGATGCTCAATAAGTATTTATGGAAAGAAAAAAATGGCTGAATTGATTCCCACTGCCACTCAGTTTTACATATTTCAGCTTACACTCGAGTCCTGTTTTCAGATGGTGGAAGTGTTAGACACCTGCTTTTTCTGGAATATGGTGAGCTAATGGGTAAGCTAAGATAAAATCCTGCAACTTGGCCTTCAGGGCAATTGTGATAACAGTGGCTACAAATGCTGGGACTCCTTCTCTAGCTTCAACTTTTCTGACATACTTTGATAAATATAGAGGTATTAATAGCAGTGGCACTGGATAAAAGATGCTAGGATGAAATAAACTCAATGTAATTTTAGGGCAGAAAATCAGAAATAGATGACAAAAGTGTAATTTTATAACTACACCAAGAGAAAGTTCACTATTAAAATTACTCACAATGATAACACATTCAGTTGAAACTTTATTGTTGTCGATATCCTTATCTTAAATTCCGTATCTTAGGTGGACAGGTTGGAACATAAGAACTTTTACCACGGCATTAAACTTCACTTGCTGTGTAAGAAACATGATTACACATATGAGTCAGCAGCAGTGCAGTGCAGTTCAATATGGCACCAATATAGTTCTATCTGACATCTGAAGTGTACCTTATAATACGCTCATTATATAGCAATAACATTACTAAGAGAAATAGTAAAAGTTGTGATGATTCTTATGGTGAAATAAGTTGAAACTACATAGTGTTTTAAATAGCTATAAAATAACAAGTAATTGTTGCCATATATTTAACTAATTTTAAGGAGTCAAAAATTAGCCCCAAATAAGGAAATGAGAAAAGCAAGATTCCAGATATGAAGCAGTGAACCAGGAAACGGTCATGGTTTTTGACTCACAGAATAGTGTGCTAGCTCTGCATGAGGACACAAATCAACATCCACCACGCTAACATTCATAAATACATGCCTTCCAATACTTGTCCTTATATGGGATTGACGGCACTACTCACAATCATAACCTCAAAAAACCCATTTGTAATTATAACATTATGATGGTTTAAAGGTAGTTCCTGTCCATTTTCAGACAGTTGAACATTTTTTTAAGCTGACAAAAAAGGCTTTTTTTGTCATCTAACCAAGACCATCAGTTTATGGTCTGTTTTATTTCTTGCCAGTAGATACCATTAAAAGTTATAAAACTGTAACAATTGCTTGCATTTATATCTCTCTCTGATTACCTGATAACTGCAATGTCAGAAGAAGTCCAGAATCTGTAAAGCCTGTCACATTACAGAAACATGTCTCCTAAAACTAAATGTGAAATTCCAGTAATTGAAGTGATAAATCTAGTGTTATTTTTTTGCCAGGGTACTTTTGATGAGAACTATAGCAGTAAATTAGGAAATATTCTGTGCCGTTATATCACGGTAAAAAGCCTTTCCATTACCTGTTGTCAGTCACTAGAGATGGGCAAATAACTCAGCTGTCAATCTAGCTAGGAAGTCTGAAGTTCTGTGAAATATATATATATATATGTAAATATATATATATAATGTTTATATGTTTTATATGATATTAATCATTTATATATAAACATATATATTATATATATATATTCTCCATTCTCATCATATAATTCTTTAGACAACTTGGAGTTGCTTTGTTTTCTTCCGCTGTACCGGAGTACATCTCACTTATTCATACATAGAGTGGAGATCTTGGAATAGTTCATTTTTTATAGCTTGTTATGTGTCTTCTTGTTTTCAAATGGTATATGAGTGTTAAATTTCAATAAGTATAATAAGCATCGATACCCTGACTGCTGAGAGTAATTTTACACATGGTACAGACTTAATCAAATTACTAATAACTGTTGGGTCCAATTTATTATTGACTTTTCCCCTAAAATATTTATTGCCTTATATTTCTACTTTAAAAGTCTATTCTTCAGCATTTCTTCAGATCACATGAAAGTATTCTACAAATTATATCCCTTTCACACTATTCTGCATGACAGCAAAAGCAAAAGGCAAACATTAGTAGTCTCCCCAAATTAGCTGGCTATACGAATATGGCGGTGGGGAAAGGAATGTATAATCTACTGTTTCAATTGAAACAATTAATCCATTCAGGTTCCATCAACTTCCATTGTAGAATATTTGTTTCAGTTCTTAGAACTAAGTAACATGATGTATGTTTCTTAAATTACTATGAAATTTCCAACTCATTGGCATGGAATAGCTATTATTGTTGGAACATGGCATCTACAAGCTGACTTTCTATTCATCTGCACAGTCCTATTCAATTCTTAAGTGTTTTAAAGAAAAAAAGTAATACAAATTATTTTCAAATTTTACTTTCAATTTGTATATAAAAAAAACAACACGTAAATGTACTTGAAATATCAATGAAAAAGACTAACGGAGACTCATGTCCCTTACCCTCAATGCACTAAAATTCATTTGTCACATATTTTATTTTGGTCGATGGTTTTAAGATGGTGAAGAAAAAAAGTTAAGAATCTGACCACTTACGAGGGTGACAAGATTAGAAAAACCACTTATCTGACAGGAAAAGCCCTGATTTGGTTAAGAATATGCAGTTGTGTGCATGTTTATCAAAAGCAAACTCAGAGTTACTTGAAGGAAGATAAAAGGACAAAAAAAGAAAGAGGAAAATGGCTTGACCTTCAAGAAGGGGTAGAGATGACTTAGATTGGAAGAAATTAACATGGGGGCACTCGGTGTCAGCCAGAAACTGAGAAAAGGACAAAGGACCATCTTAGAAGGGAAGAAACATTACAAGATTTTATATTTCGAACACCAAACCCCATAAAAAATTAAATTGGTGACCAGGTACTTAATTGATACATGAAAGTTTTAATTTCTTAAGATCCCCAAATCCCAATGTAAACACTTTGCCTACTTTCTCAAGAAAGGAAAGCTTTAAAATATTGAGTAGATAAACAGTGGGTGAACCTACTGATTAGTTCACACTGTTTTTAACCCCTAGTACATCCTCAATAAGCTGGGACCAAGCTACCCCAAACTGCCCAATTCATTTGGTAGCAGTTACATGAAGTTGAAGGCTTTTTTCTTAGAAAATATAAAGCTTCTATAGGATTTGACTATAGGATCTTAAGACTTTTTGGTGACAGAAATGTAGTGAATGAATTTCCTCACAACTCAAGCGAAACAGAAACAGTACTGCATACACTGAGGTACTGAACCTAAAGATGTTCTGGCTGTCATTTATTTGTAATTCTAGAAGGCAAATATCAAGAAAACACAGCAGATAAAAACATAAGGCAAGCAGTACACTTGCTTAATTTATTTTTAGAAATTGTATGCCCTTCAGAAAAAGGTTCCTCAGAGCTCTTCAGGGGTACCATGGTGGTCCCGCAGAGAACACGGGCACAAGCAGGCTGGTGGTATACGTAACTTTGCTGCCTTTGTACTCTGATGGAATAAATTATGCTCCCTTAAACCACAATAGCAATCCTCTCCAATCAACACACATTTCACTACATGTGAATCCTTCTGTTTTGACCTTGCTTCATGGGCAAAATCTGGAGAACATTTCTGCTGCCTTTCTTTCCTCTGGTAACCAAGCCACATGTTTTTTCTCTCTTAGACAAAACCTCTTAGGGGCCTTTTTTATTAGAGGAAGATAAAGGAAGAAAGAAAGAGGTGTGCCCCAAGTAAGTAGAGATTCTTTTCTTTGCTGCCATTTGATTTTGTCATTAAAAGTGCAAAGGAAAAGGACAACTACCCATCACTTAATAAATACGGATCTACAACAATTCCTGCTGTGAAACATCATGTCTTTTCTAAGAAAGAGAAAAACGAGTTTCTCTCAAACCTTTACTTGAATGTGCACAGAACCCACTTTCCTACAATTGCCCACATGTCACCGCATCTCTTTTTCTTTTTAAATCAGGCATTAAATATGCATCCTGACTCCCACGCAGGCGATCTGCAGCACAGCAAAATGACTGTGTATTCAATTATAGGCTAAATAAATATAGCAAACATTAAGGAAAAAAGTTTCAAACTCTATGGGCATCAGGCACGGTCTCCTTTTCATGATACAATTAGGTGTTCTACGTCTGTTATCATAGTGACACACGTTATGTGCCTCCTACAAACCCTTTTTTTTTTTTTTTTAAAAAAGGACCCTTTCTATCATTAGTAATACTGAGTTAATTTGAAAAAACAAAACAAAACAAAAAAACAAACCTCTCTAAGGAGCCAGTAGCTGAATTTAGAAAAATGCATGTATTTAAAATGACTACAAGATTTTAATGAATAAACCATTCATGAAATAAGGTATTTATATCATCTCTTTTCTATTATGAAATTAGGTTAACATTTCTACAAAAAATGGAATTGCCTAATAGCAAATTTACAACAAAGTTGGGGAAAAAAAGAAAGTTCCACAGCAGAGGTTTTGGAATAGGCAAATTCTACCAAGGTGCGTGATGGGTTGAATTACGGGGGCAGAACTGCTTCCAACCTTTCTATTATTGCTAGTCTAATTCAGATTTTCAATAATTTGGAAAAAAATGCTTTTATTTGATGTCATGTCTATGAGTCGTTGGCAAAGTGTAGTAACACTGGAAAAGAAAATATTTGGGGTTAAAATGATTACAAATCATTTCAGCATTGTACACTGTAGATACCCCCAGAGCCTGCTATACACTATGTGTACGTACACTATGTGTACATACACTATGTGTACATACACTATGTGTACATACACTATGTGTACATACACTATGTGTACATACACTATGTGTACATACACTATGTGTACATACACTATGTGTACATACACTATGTGTACATACACTATGTGTATAGCAGGTGGGCTTCAAGCCCTGTGATGTTCATTCAGCTAACTCAAAAAGTGTCGGAAAATGGATTTCAGCACAGGTGCCCAAGGACACCATAAACAGAATGTATTGACGATACATTCTACAATGTGACAGCTCAACTGTCATGTCAAACAGCTGTAACAGAGTGCTAGTGTTACAGGTTTACTTTAATATTTAAATATATCAATAACCAGGTGAAACTTGTTTTTGCAGGTTTAAAAAGAAGAGTTTTAATATGTCACATGATAAATATTTAAACACAAAACAGGAATTTAAATTCTCCTATTCTCAATGACTATGTAAATTTTACTAGGCTATTAAAAAAATCTTCCTAAACACTTGCTAGAAAAAGTCTATTTGTCATTGGGCTAATTTATACTTTCAACAAATTATATTTCTTGGAAGTATTTCAAACAAATATACCAAATTTGCCTCAATAATTTTTCATTTCTCCTTATAAGCCTTTTCAAAGTGGAATTATAATGCGAGTTTAAGATACATTCAATTTATTAAAATGGTACTACTTAAGTAGAGCTTATTTTGACATGATAAGAATACTGAGACCAAAATAAATCCAATATTCATTCTTTTGTTCAACAAAAATTTATTAAATACTGACAAGTGTTTTCTGATTTTGGGAAAAAAACTTAAATGGATGAATATTTTCTTACTACTTACTTTTATCACTGGGATTCTTTGTAAGCAAAGATTTTTTTTATGTGTAATAATATTTAATATAGCATTGTTTGTAGTGGTAATGAGTAAAACCCCAAATGTTCATTTGTAAGAGAATGGCTGAATCAACTAAGGTATGTCTGCTCTATTTTGTTATACAGTTATTCAGATGAAAAATTATATCTGTATCTGTTGATCCGGAGGAAAAAAGCAAACTACAGAATTAAATGTATAGTATTCAAACACCTTCCAAAAAACGTGTAAGGGACACATGCTTTTTATTCGCAGAGAAAGGTAGTCCACAGTGCTATGAGCAGTGATTTGCAGGTATCTGAGGAGGTCTTCAGGTTTTTCTTTATTCGTGTTTGTGTTATTTTACTTGCTAGAAGTCCATTATTACTTTGGTAAATTTAAAATATCGAGTAAGAAAAATGAAAACTAAACACAAGCCAAGAGTAACAAAGAGATTTTATAAATAAGACTCAGCTTTTCAACCCACTAATTCCACACAGGTTTTCCAAGTGCTGTGTTCCCACCACCCTTCCTACTCACTGCCTGACAAAGCACAGGGGATAAAGCACAGTTTTCTTGTGGGCCATTTGGAGATGCCACATCCTCTGTTGTTCTTAAGGAGATCTGACTGTACTTGACAAGGAGCCATTATTTGATAGTATGACAGGGCAGCATTTCATGGACTTAAGTGTTGTTTGCTCTTCAAATATATGCTTTTTCCTTTAGGAAAACATTCATTTACATAGATCCACAAGTAGGAGGCATGTGAAAACCGTTATTAGTCTAACATAAAGGAGAGAGACATATGCACCAAAAAGTACTCCCAAGTTCTCAAGTAAAACAAGACAACGGCAGGAGTTGTTCCTTCTGGTTTCACCATGGCTATATAGTAAAAGTGTCTGGGGCATCCTCACTGCTTTTAAATACAGCTGTGCTCATGCAACTGCTGCTGATTCCAATGTGACTGAAATTTTCAGCATGCCCGATTTACCATATCTGATTGTGTAAGCAGCTGGGATACAAAAAATAACGTGCCTGGCATATGCTTAGCAGTCACAAGGAAGTGGCAGAAAATCAGCCTGTGACCCACTTATTATTTTGGTGACACATGACTGTTGCTGTTTTTGGGAATTTAGTTGTACACATGACCCTGGAGTGAGCTGTCAGTCTCACTGTTCTATTAACAGTTCACACAAATCTCTGCATATCCCATATCACTTGTCTGGACCTCCAAAACATCCCACACTCGACCTGGCCAGTCACAGAGAGCTCTTTGGAAATATACATCTTGGCCTTTCTCTCGGCAAATCTCATGAGATGAAATCTCATGTAGACAGGGGGAAATATGTGGTTGGGAATTCTGGGAAGTCAGATCACGGTTGTCCTTTATTAGCAAACACACGATCAGAAAAGAAATGGACTGGATGACTACTAGCGTGATTTTCAGGACAATGGCTGGCATGAAGGCCTTAAGCAAAACAACAAAATGTGCATAATGTTTTCTTTTCCCACTTTGTGACTTTTAGCATTTCTACACTTTCACACCCTTTCCAATCCAAGATATTTTACTTACTCTGTTTCCTTAAGTCTAGGACAGCACTGCTTGTAAAATGCAATTCTATGTTAAAACAAATAATTGGGATTTCTGATTTTAGAAATAATAAAATGCAAAAACAAAAGTCTTATGACTATTGAAATAGGGTGTGTCTATTTTCTTGGCAGTGTAGTGTAGTGGGGTTAAGACTTGGGTTCTGGAATCAACCTGAATAGGTTCAAATCCAGGCTCTGTAACTTTTATCTTGAATAAGTTACTGAAGCTATCTATGTCCGGGTTTACTTTACTATGAAGCAAAATAATAGTACTCCTACAGGAGCCATTATGAAGAATAAATGATTTTATATTTGTAGAAAGCTTACAGCAGTGCCTGGCATAGTAAGCGTTGAACAAGTGATAGCTATTATTTTTGCTTGTCATTGTTCATAAAATTCCTTTTCTCTCTCCCCTAATCTACTCTTGTAAGAACGGTTACTTCACTGCATTAATCAACACATAGCTAGAAATCAAGTCATCCACACAAGTTCATACCTGGTTTAATTTTCCCTGAGGCACCAATATTTGAAGACCTTATAGTGTGATTATTTCCCTGCCTATCACTTATTGCTTGTGGATTAAAATATAAGGGCTACCTTTTATAAAATGTAAAATAATCAGTTTTGAATTAATAGGACAGGGTACAGTGGCTTGATACAAGAAAAATAGACAAAAGTCAATAGCTTTCCTATATACCAATAAGAAGGCAATATATAATTTAAAAATTCTACTCACAATTGCTACAAAATACTGACTACATAGGAAAAGCTGGTTTAAAGACTTAACAATAAAACTTGAGTAACTGGTGAGAGATAGTATTTTTGTAAATGAAGTTTTAATGTTACAAAGATGCCAATTCCCTGAAAGTATATTCTGGAATAAACAGAAGAGAAAGGGAGCCTATTCTACTCAATATTAAAACAGAATAGAAATGCTGTAAGGAGGATAATGGGTCCCTGGGATGGAAGAAGATAAGTGTTTGAAACAGAAGAATCTTTATTGAAAAATAAAATATATATGAGAATTGAACATGAGATAAAGGTGGCATTGTCAATCAAAGATTCAAAGTATGAACTATTCACTAGATGCACTGGGGAAAATAACCATTTGGGAAAAAAATTATATCTTTATGTCACGCCTTACAGCAAAATATCTCCAAATGAACTAAAGGTTTGGATTTATAAAAAGTAAAACCGCAAAAGATCAGAAGGTAGTGGAAATGTTCCTATTACCCTGCATTACAAAGTTAGGAATCTAAAACCAGAAATCACACATATATATTCATCTTAAAAACAAATGATTAAGTTAAAAGATGAACAAGGAATTCACAAAGTAAAAAGTACAAATGACTAATAAGAAAGAATGTTTAATCTCACTAGTAATCATTAGAGCTTTTTTGCAACCATATTTGCAACGCTGTTAAAATGAAAACATTTATGAAAAACGCCACTATCCGGGGATGACTTTCTGCAATTTCTGTCACCTGGGAGCTCATTTGAGGTCTGCAGAGCAGCTGCAAGGTCGTTTCTTCAGAGGAGCTTTTCCTGACCACTGAAGCTAGTTATGTCCCATAACTATATAGCCTTTCAGGGTCCCTGACATTTTTCCTTCTTTGCAGCTTCACAGCTGTGATTTGGAATCATCTGTATAATGATTCATCATGAGCCCATCTCCATTAGACTGGAATGGCTATGGCCACTCCTGACTTTTCCTGGTGCTGTGCCTGGAACAGTGTAGGCATTCATTATTTGGTGTATCCTTCAAGGGACTTGCACGGAGGTCAGCAATAAAACCTCCATGGGTCCCCTGCTGCCCACAGGTGATATCAAGTCTAAACTCCTTGGCATGGCATTCAGTGAACTTCCCAATTCACTCCCAATTCAACTGTCCAGCCTCATCTCTAGTCACTCCCAAACACAGGGTCTTTGACTAGCCACACTAAACTTATTCCCCTTGAGCCTGTGCATTTCAATGAGTTATTCCTTTGGCCGAGAAAACCATTTACCTTTCCCTGTCTAGAAACCACTTTCGAAATTTAGCTTGTAACTCAACAGCACATCCTGACTGCAAGGACCTGAGTGAGTGATGGGCTGCCTCTATGTGTACCCCAAAGCAGCTGATGTAAATTTCCCATGGAGGATTTCCCATGTTACAGTAGTGTCATTACCTGTGAACATATTTTCCTCTTCTGCTAGGTTAAGAACTCTGTGAAGGCAGCAGCTATTTCCTTTATTCTATGGACCTTGGCTCTGAGCAAAGCACCTGACACACAAAGTTGATCAGAAAATTGAACCAATTATTTAGATATCGATTCTAACATATTAGAGACCATAGAAATGAAATACTTTGCATATAAGAAAACTGTACAACGTTTTGCATTCAGACCTCACTTGACAGAGAGAAAAATGTTGGTGGAGGTTCATTTTCAAATATTAGGAAAAAAGGAGCAGCAGAGTGATTGTGTGCGAGAATGTCCAGGAGTTGTGGGTCTGCACACTTGTTAGCGCAAAAGGGTCGTGAGGACTAGACTAAGGCGCTGCGGTGCCCTGTGTTGTGTGACAAGGGAAATAACAGGTGTTAGCAACATTTACACTTGTCACATGTGTGTTAAAATGTCTAAGCTAACCACCAAAAGAACAGAAAAAGAATGTGCAGAAGAAAAAAGATGGAATGAGGTAAAAAACCTTAGTCTCAAAGGATACAAGAAAGCAGGAAAAAAGAAACAGAAAAGAGAAATAGAAATACAAATATGGTAGAAATAAATAAATAAATAAAAAATACTAACAGTAAGTATATTGACTTAAATGTTCCCAAATGCTCCAGCCAAAACACCAAGTTTTCCAGACAGGATTATGAAACAATAAATCCAGCTCTATGAAACTTTCAAAGATCCACTTTAACCTCCAGAAAAAGTTGAAAAAGTTGAAATGAAAAAGAGGCATCATGTGACTACTAATCAAAAAAGAAGTGCAATTAGTAGTCTGCAACAGAATAGACTTTTAGGCAAAAAGCATTCTAGATAAAGTTCACTTCATATTGATAAAAAGTTCAATTTACCAGCAACATATAAGAATTCTATACATAGTTGTATCTAACAATAGATTTAAACTATTAAGAAGCAAAGAAAAAAAAAGAAAAAAAATCACACTTGTAGTAAAAAACTTCAACATGCCTCTCTCAGTATTTGGTAAATGGCAGACAAATTAGTGAGGATATAGATGATTGCAAGACACAATTAATAAGCTTAATCTATGGAAGCCCAGATGAAACATTTATCAAAGGGCTCACTGCTGTACCAAAAGGCAAGCTACAACAAATTTCAAAGAACTGGCTCATAGAGTTGCCTTCTGTGGCTACAGTGCAATTATATTATAGATTAATAATAAGGAGGAAAATTTTTTTAAAACCCACCAACATCAGGAGGTACGAGGACAATTAAAATATCTTGAGACTGAAGAAGAAATCAAATGTATTTAGATAAAGGATTACACAAATTCTCAAATATAAAAACTTACAGGATGCAGCTAAGACATTACTTGGAGGGAAATTTAGGACCTCTAGTGTTAATGCCTATATAAGAAAAGAAATTAACTGATTAAGCATTCAACTTAAGTTAGAAAAAAGAATAAGAGTAAACAAAGTAAAAGGCAGAAAATAAATCATAAGAGTAGAAATGATCAAACATAAAACAAAGATATAATAGGAAAGATCAATACATCTAAAAGCTGTCATTTTGAAAGGACAACAAATCATTCTCAAGAAAGTAACAATCCATTCTCAAGAAATAGGAGCGGCAGTGCAGAGGAAGAATATTAGGACTGCACGTCGCAGCTCCATCAGTTCTGAGGCTGATCCCTGAAGACACCTCCTCCAAGACAGCACGGAGGGTCCGTTCATCCGACATGCCTCTCTCAGTGTCTGATTTCACCGCAGTTTGTTTGGATCCAGGACTTTATTTTAACGGAGATTCAACAAATGGAAATCCTTCTAAAAAGTCAGTACTATGTTCTAACGAAGAATCAAAACTCCCATAGACCCGCTGTTCACTTTAGTCTCCTCAAACATACATTCCCAAGTCTGAGGTTTGTTGCAGGATGACCAGACATGACCAGCAAGAGCTCTCGTGCGATAAGCTGGGCAGCATCCCAGGAGGGTGGGGATTTGATACTTCCTTAAGTTTCCAGCTTACTGAAGGATACTCACTTAGAGTGTGTATGATAAGAAAGTAATTCTAAGTTGGCGGCGGGGGGTGGGTGGGGGGGGTGGCGGGGATGACATGTTTTAAGGTTTCAGAGTGAGGAGACAAGAATTTAAGTACAAATTCTGCTTTCTGTAGCAGAAATGTGGATGAATAATTACATTTAAGTAAGTAAATAAGCTGTGATAACCTCAGAAAAAAAATAAGGCAGTCAATGTCCAAGGTTTTCAATCTCAATAGAAATGAATTTTCCAAAGAGCATATTTTATATATATATATTTGTAAATCTCTCAAGAAATAACCCTAAAACTCTGCATTCAATGAAAATACGCCAGCTAAGTTTGGGACAGGGTCTGGGCTGAATCAGATTCTTCACAGGCTTTAATATAAACCCTCAACCAAACAATAGCTCTAGAGAAAAAAAAGGCAAGTTCTTTTGTTTTAGACCAGAAATGCAACAGAAACGAAATATAATAAAAAATGAAAATTCAGGTAGAGGAACTATGCATTTCATACTGAATAATTATTTCTGTACTGCCCGTAAATCCTCTCTGGTAAGCTGTGCATCTACAACTCATCGAACTGCCAAGGGGTAAATGCAGCTCCATCCATCAAGCAGTCACTTGACAAATACATTCCATAATAGAAGTTTATTTTTATGGGAGGCTGAATCAAGGACTTTCCCATGCATACAAAAACTTGTCAAAATTATTTATGAGTCTTGCTGAGACACACAATATGTCATATCAAACTCCTATTTTCCTTCCAAGCACAGACTGTCAATATCTCTGCTGCTATCAATAATGTGGAACACCGCTGATAGAGGCCCTCAGGAGCTTGAGGTCATTTGCCCATCCCAGCGCTGCCAGAAGCCATCTCTAAGTGCGGTGGGGCCGAGGAGAGGCGTATTTACCACCCCGGTGAGGGGTAGCTAAGGAAAGCACTTGGGACTACTTTGAAAGACTTTGCAACATAAAGTAAAACAGAAACACAGGGTTGAAAAATGATGGTTGATGACGGCTGAAGAAAAACAAAGATATCAGAAGATATTTCATCTTTCATTTTGCACACCAAGTATTAGCTAAGTGTGATAAACCCTGGAAAATCCGGAAAACAGCCCATCCCTGGTGAAATTCCAGTTCTCAACGATGGGTCTGATTGAATGAATCGGACAGGACCAGGTGGCTCTCGAGCAAGAGACTCGCTTGATAGGCTGAGTGACCCTGGCTCTGCGCACCCAATGCCGCTCTCGTTTTATTCCCGAGGAAGCACCAGCAGGCAACAGCATGGCCCTTTCCTTTCGGTGGCACGGGCCTGTCCTGCTCTGGCTTGTCTCCCCCGCAACAGTGCTCACCTGCTCACTGAGAATCAGAGACGTGGTAAATGACCCTTGCGACAATTTATAGCAATGGGAAAATGTATTATTATTTTTCAGCTCTGTGGGCAATGGAACCCAGTCTCCTATCCTAAATTAGCCCCAAGAATGCATCAGATACAGCAAAAGCCTAGGTATGTCCTAGAGACGCTCTTATTCTCTGAAGAAGTGTTTTCTCACTGCCACTTAACACCGGTGCTACGACGTGCACCGCGGAGAGGCCATGGCGCACACAAACTGAGCAGGAAAGACTCAGTGAGACCAGGCACTCCAGGGCCACACTGCAGTGGTAGCAGGTGAGGCAGCAAGAAAGAGGGTTGGTTAAACTTTTAGTTTCTCAACACAAATAGAAATACAAACTTGCGAAATCTGCTTTAGGACTTCACGGCCTTTGGGGAGAGGGGAGATAAGCAGCTGCCAGCATTCTTACAGGTCCCCAGGGTATCATTTGCTGCCCTGCTGCCATTTGCTCAAGTGTTACAGGCCAGAGCTGGAATAGTGTGTAAGTGTCTGTAGAAGGTTCTAACTCTGGTCCCTTTCCCTTAAGAGCCAATGACCTGACAATTTTTGTTGAGTGTCTCCATATCATGTGTTAACAAGAATTTGATTCTACAAAATAATGTGTAATACAGAAAACACAGTATCTGTACTTAGAGTGGACAATACAAAGTGAGAGGTCAGGCAATTTGCTTGTCTTGTTCTACTAGAAATGTATTATGTGACCTCCTGAACATGCTTACATTCGTTGATCTTGACACGTAAAAGTTTGTTTTCCTGGAATGCTTAAATTAAACTAAGAAAAATGGGTTAAATGAGAAAGAAGTCTACTTTTTTAAATGCAGAAACATGACAAGGAATAAGAAAGGGAAGAAGGGGAAGAAAGAAGGGACTGCCCTAAAAAATTCATTTCTCTGATCTTCCCCAATTTTTTTTGAAACAAATCCTAAACCCTATGCAGAACTCTATGCAAGGCTACAAGAACTTGTCCAAGGGATGTACACGATTCCCATCCATTAATAATATAAAAATAGCCTCCTTGAAGGAAAGAGGGCAATAGAGCTATTTAGCAAATGCTGTGTATGGGCCAAAGCTGTCAAACACACTGAGTCACAGTGGTGCATGTGAATAGGAAGGGACATTGTAACTCAGAAATAAAACCAAACACATTTGCCAGGAAGCCACTCCTTCAACATGAGAAATACAATGATAAGCTCTCTTTAGGTTTTCGAAATAATTCTGAAATAATTGAAATGTTTGTTAGGAAAGCCCTACTTTTTTCAAAAATAATGAGTTGATGTTGCCTAATTAATGCACTATGCCTACTGTTTTCAGATATAAACAAAACAGAATTTAGAGGTCTGTGTCCTAAGAACCAAGCATGAAGTGTGATATGGATGCTAAGGCAGACATGTTAAGATGGCAAACCTGAATTTCCAACAAGCTGCCTGAAGAGAAATGGAGTAGGGGAAAGCCACAATACCACCTTTTATTTGTAAAACACTTTCGTTTGTTATTCCATTTAGTAAACACCATAGCCTGTGAGGTAGGTGGGCTGAATTCCTGACCTCTTTTTTTTTTTTTTTTTGAGCCGGAGTCTCGCTCTGTTGCCCAGGCTGGAGTGCAGTGGCGCGATCTCGGCTCGCTGCAAGCTCCACCTCCCGGGTTCACGCCATTCTCCTGCCTCAGTCTCCCGAGTAGCTGGGACTACAGGCGCCCGTCACCACGCCCGGTTAATTTTTTTGTATTTTTTTAGTAGAGACGGGGTTTCACCGTGTTAGCCAGGATGGTCTCGATCTCCTGACCTCGTGATCCACCCGCCTTGTCCTCCCAAAGTGCTGGGATTACAGGCGTCAGCCACCGCGCCCGGCCCTGACCTCTTTCTAAGAAAAGGAGCAAATGGGGCTTAGAGTCTGGCTGAGTCATCCCGGGTCCTGCTGCTCTTAGGTGATTTAATGAGAACTGGAACGTAAATGTTCCAGTCTACTCTTTCCTTCTCATCTCCTCCTACCAACAATTACAGCTGCCCTAGGGACTACAGAGGGCTCCTAGCGAGGGAGAGGGGAAGAGGAAAGAAAGAAAAAGGAAAGTCTATTACCCTAGTGGCTTCTTAGAAAACCTGCATTTAGAAACTTGTGGTCAGAATATTTATTAATTCAATCACGAGGAGCTCTAACAGTCAAACTATACAAAATATCCCATATCAGCAAGAACAAATCCATTTTTTAAAAACACATAAGCCCTTTTAGGAGAAAAATGGGAAGAAGGCTGAAGGCTGCAGTTGCGCTCACATGGCTGGCCAGCCCTCATAGGCCCACTCTCTTGGTTTCCTCCTGTTTCTTTACCTGTGGAGACCGGGCTCTCTGGACCCTGGCTCCTGGACATTCTGGACTGGGTGACTCTGGTATGGGGGCTGCCTGTGCATTGCAGAATGTTCAGCAGCACTTGGTCTCCACCCGCTAAAGGCCAGTAGCCTCCTCTCCCAAAACTGCCCTTGCCCAAGGTGGGACAACCCAAAATGTCTCCAAATATTGCCAAATATTCACGGGGGACAGAATCTCCTCCAGGTGAGAACGACCTGTCTAATCACAGATTCCACATACAACCTACTATATTTCAATTTCTATTCTGTACTCCATCTTTATAAAATATGCTTGCAAAACTCTGAATTCTCTGTTGCTACTGCTAATGTCTCTCCTGATTTTCACATGCGAATTGACAGAAATACAGGGTTGGAGATATTTGGCATTTCAGACAACTTTTGAGGAAAGATTCCATCATGTGTGCTGGGTTGAACGCATTCTGTTTCCTTTTGCTCTATTCCTATGGTTCTATGTTTATTTCTCATAGTACTTCACTACTCTTCAGTACCTTAACAACTGGCATTTTTCATTTTCACTTAACCTAAAAATGTGCTCTTTGCCCAGAGAGGACTGTTAACTGTTGTCTAATAATGGTTTGTGATGATAAAAATTACAGAGAAAGGTCTTCTCCCCCTAATAGATATCGTTTATCATATAACTTTCTGGCTCAAAATAAAACCTTAAGGTTTTCAGTCCAATGCCAAATTAGAAACATTTCATAAAAAGATATCATTCTATTTATAATATTATTTGTCCCATTTACTAATTTTTCCAACCCATGATGTCCCTCCCTGTGTTGAACTCCTATTGTTACAGTCGGCACTTCAAAGATATCTATCTTCCCCACCCATTTTCCCCAGTCTGTGCTAGAAACCCTGCCAGGCCCTGGAGAAACAAACACTGCGGAGGCTGGGCTCCGGCCCTGAAAGCTCAGCTTCTGGTGGGACATCATGTGATAGGCACTGATGAGTCTGAACAGAAATGACCAATTTCTGGTAGGGGCCCTCAAAAAGAGAATTCTGGAAATGAGTAATAAATCAAATGGGGAGGAGGGTGCAGGGAGACAGGGTCTGTGAGGATATTTCACTGCACCCTACTAAAGGCTATCTACGCACCTTAATGTGACGTTGATGCCATCATTCTGATTATTATAATCATTCTCCAAGCATTCGATGCACATATGTATGATCTTTCAGGTGAAGCACAATTACTTCATCCTAGTTTATATTCCACAATGCTCTTAGTATAAGGTTGAGCACATAGGCAGGTAAATATTAATTACAACTTAATAGTGAATACAATAAAATTTGCATTAATAAAATATATAAAAATGATGCAGAAAAAAAGAGTAATGATGAAAGATTAAAAATAGATGCATCTTTTATCTTAAAACTTAAACCAGATAGCTATTTTTTTGCATAGTTATTGCTTTAGCCATCTGAAGAGATGCCATATCAAGGAAAACATTTTCTATTGTCAACTTTGACAGATTTATTTCAGAGGATCACACTGGTCTAAATTTTACTAGGCTGATGATGTTTGAGGAGCACCAAGAAAAAGAGATCACGCCCTGACGGATATGACCATTTCAGCCTTTGTAACAGAATCAACTGTGACAGCTGAATAACATTAACTCTTTGCAATTATAATATTAGTATATTTACAAATTACAAAACACTTTCACAACCGTTGTTTTACGTCTCAAAAGAATCCTCTGTGCTAGGACTGTAGCATGTTATTTAAAAATTAATCTGTCTTGAATAGATAATACATTCAACTGGTTCAAAACTCAAAAGGTACAAATGAGCATCCAGTAAAAACATCGCTCTCCAACTCACGTCCCCCTGACACTGGGTTTCCCTGTCCAGAACAAACCTGCCATATCGGTTTCCTGTGGACCCGCCCACAGATATTTTATGGAAATAAGAGCAGATACATTTATGCGTACTCTTTCCTTGTAATACAAATCCACAGCACCAGCACCCAGAGTTCTTTACATTGCCTTTTCTGCTTATTTAAATATATCAGGTATCAATCCATAAAGAACTTTCTTATGATTTTCTAAGATTACATGATATTCTATTTATGTTCTCTCAGGGAAATCACAAGCTATCATGTTAGCCACTGGCTGTTCAGATTCATGCCCTCAGACCTAGGTTACTTTTTTTCATGTAACACATTGTGTCAAAACATCATTGAAAATTAAAGTTGCAAAATAAAGTGACAATGTTGAAATGCAGTCATCTTGGCTACATTGATCAGGCCAATTTCTTCAATAATGGAAGAATAATCAAGACGTATTTCCTAAAGTGACTCATATTCATATAAATTTATTCTTTTTGTGGGCATCAAAGTATAAGAATCATTCTCTTTTACACTATCAGCAATCTTTATGAGATTTGAGTTCACTGTTATTCTTCAATACAATGATTCAAAAATAAGAAATTAAAAGTCTGGCACATTCGTGAGCAATATTCCTATATTCCTGGAGTAGACTCTAAATTATTTTCTTTCTCAGAAATATGTTCTGCCATGTGGCTATGGTAGCAATGAAAAGATGTCCAAAGGGTTAAGCCAGGGGAAAGCAGACACGAATCACAGTTTGTATAAATAAACCTACAACTTTCAAACAAAATACTTAAGTTTTACCTTTGTTTTTTTTTTTTTTTTTTTTTTTTTTTATTATACTCTAAGTTTTAGGGTACATGTGCACATTGTGCAGGTTAGTTACATATGTATACATGTGCCATGCTGGTGCGCTGCACCCACTAATGTGTCATCTAGCATTAGGTATATCTCCCAATGCTATCCCTCCCCCCTCCCCCGACCCCACCACAGTCCCCAGAGTGTGATATTCCCCTTCCTGTGTCCATGTGATCTCATTGTTCAATTCCCACCTATGAGTGAGAATATGCGGTGTTTGGTTTTTTGTTCTTGCGATAGTTTACTGAGAATGATGGTTTCCAATTTCATCCATGTCCCTACAAAGGATATGAACTCATCATTTTTTATGGCTGCATAATATTCCATGGTGTATATGTGCCACATTTTCTTAATCCAGTCTATCATTGTTGGACATTTGGGTTGGTTCCAAGTCTTTGCTATTGTGAATAGTGCCGCAATAAACATACGTGTGCATGTGTCTTTATAGCAGCATGATTTATACTCATTTGGGTATATACCCAGTAATGGGATGGCTGGGTCAAATGGTATTTCTAGTTCTAGATCCCTGAGGAATCGCCACACTGACTTCCACAATGGTTGAACTAGTTTACAGTCCCACCAACAGTGTAAAAGTGTTCCTATTTCTCCGCATCCTCTCCAGCACCTGTTGTTTCCTGACTTTTTAATGATTGCCATTCTAACTGGTGTGAGATGATATCTCATAGTGGTTTTGATTTGCATTTCTCTGATGGCCAGTGATGATGAGCATTTCTTCATGTGTTTTTTGGCTGCATAAATGTCTTCTTTTGAGAAGTGTCTGTTCATGTCCTTCGTTAATTGAAAAAAATATGTACATCAACATAGAAGTGATGATCTAAGTATGATCTATGTGAAAGAAAGAAAGCATTATATGGAAAAGTGGATTAGAGGAGAACACAGACAGGTATTTTGACCCATCAAAGGCCTGTAGTGATAGGACAGGGGACCTTCCCACACTGAAGGAGGCAAGAGCTGACAGACAGCCTGGGAAGGATGGGGCTAGGCAAAGAAGACATTCATTTAATTCAAAAAGTAATTTTTCTTGGTGTTTTTGCTTTGCCCTTCACTGAGCTAAGCTGAGTAAACTAAAGAAAAAGGAATTAAAACTCTCTCTGCCTCAGGGAATTAAATCTTATTGACAAGAAACATCATCCCATGAAAAAAAGGATTCTTAACTGTGCAGCTGAAGGCCTGTGTTCAAATCCCAGCCCTCCTTGGATGACTGGTGAGCCCGTGGGTGCAGCGGTCCCACTGGCAGCTGGCACCAGGCTCCTCATCTTGGAGATGAGGAACATCACTTGCACATTCCGCAGGTGCTGCAAAGGCTGCACAAGATCATGGCTGTGAGAGTGATCTCCACACAGGGTACAAGTGTAAGGCATCAGGATTGCAGAAAACAAGTGAAGAACAACAGAGCCATGTGATCAATTTAAGATTGAGTAGAAAAAATGTCTTCAAGAAATGGCTAGTATTGTGGATCAGAATGAGCATTTTTCGTTTTTAGACAGCTGGGTAAGCAGAGGTAGAAGTAAAAAAAAGTGACTACGCAGGAAGAAGAAGAGCAGGTTGAATCCACTTTTCACCATGAAACAAATGCTTAGAACCCCAGCCTTTATAGGAGAAGAAAATGGCCACAGTTGGCTGGTCATTTTCTAATGAGTCTGAAGGAAACAGCTCTGTCCCCAACATTCCAAAGTGCAGAGGGGTGATTTTAAAGTTCACCTGGAATGGTCAGAACCACTCCACGGACACATGGGCCCATGGACACAAAAAGGGCACAAGGACAAAAATCTCAAACATGCACATTTAGTCTTTTTATTTATTTTTTTTACTTAAGTTTTTGTTATGTCTATTTTTTCAAGAGGCTGTATTTTACGTCTGCGATGGGCCTGAACAAGCAGTTCCCTTTTCCTTTTGCTGGGCCCAGTAACTTTGTCAGGAGAGCCATCAGGCAGGTGCTAACTGCAGAGCTGCGAGAGGCCCCTAATTGTGAAGCCCTTACAAGGACTGAACCTGATCATTCACGGAACTGTTGAGTTGATGGGATTCGTGTAGCTGGTTATAAATTGATAATCTAAATTAATTCATTCAAGCAGAAATCGATTTTGTAACTCCTTGAGAGCTTGTAATAATGCTTACCTCCCACTGCTAGCTGCATTCTCTGTTTCATAAAGCTGGTCGGGAACAGCTGGATTCAGGTGACCTGCTAGCTCATTAAATCTGTTACACATGCCTTCTGGTAAATGATATTAAGCTGAAATGTCCTAACGTTGATTTTTTTCTTTAATTTTATGACAGAAATAACCTAATTTGTAACACAAAATAACAATCTCCTTGGATTACTTTGCCTTGCTAAAATATTTTATGCATTTTTCATTTACACAAAGGTAATGGAAAAACACTTAAACTATCTGTTATTTAAACCACAAGAGATATGTTACTGAAAGTCTGATAGCTACAAAAATGATTGTCTCTTCATAGTCTTTACTTTACATCTGTAATAAAAGGCAGACAATTCAATTCATTGGTTAGTAAATAAAGTACGATAGTTTTTATTTTATTTTCTCTGCCTTGCAAGAACTAAAATCAGATTGCTTTTTAAATTCATTTAGAAATAGGACTCATTACTTTCCTTTCCTCTTTCTAATCTAAAATGTCTAATGTCCATTCGGAACCTCACATTTTCTTCATCAGCAGAAGTTGTAACCTAATTCTACATCCCATATTCGAAGAATCACTTTCTGAGCTGCTCTCTGCCTGTGCACAAAGGTTGAATAACGAAATCAGAGCCCTGCCTTTTGTGCATCTGCGACTATTAAACACTTATTGCCGTTCACCTCCTGACTTCATTTCCTTTTTCTAAATACATTTTAAAATAAAAACACATCCAGAATGCCCAAGTAACACAGTTAAAATATGTCCTAAGACTGTAAGTAACCAATCATTTTTACTGCCATAATAAGTGATAAGCGTTTCTCAAATCAAGGAAGGTGACTAACTGAAACCCCAAACTGTCCACCTTAAATGCTCTTATTCACACAGGAGGCCAGAGTCATCATTTTACAGCCTCAAAAGCCACCGCTGTGAAAAACTAAGAAAATGCTTGTTGGCGCCTGCCTCATCTAGTAGGATTTACCTTACGGAAGCTGCCTTCTCTGTTTCATAAAGTCCTGCCTCCGTTTTCAGCGGGCTGATTAACATAAAATCCTACTATTCAATTTGTAAACATTTCAATACTGAACACTATTTGTTTAGTATTAAAACCAAACTTGAGTAGTTTTCTAGATATGATACCTAATGCTGAGTTTATCATGTATTTTGAAAGAATTTACTTTAAAAGCTTCCAAAGACCATGTATTCACATCACAGTGGTTAAAACTGAATTTTAATATATTAAGAATACATGGCCTTATAATCCCAAGCTTCTAACAATTCTAAAAATTCTCAAAGTAAAAATAACAAAACCACTCACTCTGAATGCATATAGATTTCCCTGATCTAACACAAAGTTGTCTAAGGAAAAAAGCAGAGCCAAGCACAAGTCCCTCGGTATCTCTTAAACAAGAAATGGTAGCCTCAGAGCACAGCCGAATGAACTGCCCAGAAAAAGACAGAGGAAGGGCCCAGCATTGTCACCCTCCCTTCTGCCTCTCCCACCAAAGCCTCTTCCAAATGATTTCATTAAAAAAGATTAAGACTTCATTGATAATAATCTAGAAAACAGAAAGAAAAAAGAAATATAACAAATGCACAGTGAGACAGAGCTGACCCAGAGCTACAAACAGCACGGTCAGCAAAATAATTTAGGAAGCGAATAAAATACTATTTTCTGTGAGGATCAGTGTTAAGGTTTCTTTGATAGCCTAATGCTTTTTTTAGAACCTGCCCACTTCACAACTGGTCCACCCACACTGCAACCCAGTGTAGGATCGAATCACCCTCAGCTCGGTTACTGCAGTAGTCTCTGAACCTGTCTCTTGGCTGCCCCTTTTGTGACCCTCTGGCCACTCTCCACACAGCATCCAGAATGCTGTTTACCATGGATGTGGTCTCCTTTAGCCCTAAGGTGCCACGGCTCCTGGCACACTCAAATCGCCCAAGCCAGGCCCTGCCGTTCACACTTGCCCCTGCAGTCACGCAGATCTAGCTCCACTGTCCTTTACATTCCATGAATTTGCAAATATAAGTCAGCCTTCGATAAATATTCAATTAGCAACATATTCAGGATGTGAGTCATTTCAGGGTGTCAAACTGTTTTTTCACACAGGAAGTCAGAGAAAGAAAATACATACATTGAGTAAAGATTTCTAGCCTGCTTAAAATGAATACAGCTGCAGAACCACGGCTTGTCACTTCTCTAACATTTGGACACCATTTCGTCTCCTTGAAATTTCGTTGCTTTTATGTCTAGATAGTTGATAAATCAATAATAAACTTCTTCCACCCTCATCAATTGTAGAAAAAAATCTCAACTCTGTCTTCAAAGTCACTCCCAGAATTCTGTCCACACTGTGCTGTGGCCGCTCACTGCCCACGAGTGCCCTCCCCGGCCCTTTCCATCATCTATTCTTCCTGTCGCTGGGTCCTGAGTGCCGCTGCCGTCTTTTGCATATGGTTTCCTGGTCATAGGACACGTGTCCAAAGTGAACTGCACTGTAATACTCCCTACCGTTTGAGAATCTAAACATGAGCCCTGCTCTCTGCACAGATGGACACACACCAGCAGGGACAGTCCACATTCAGGGTCGAACTGCCTCCCCTTCTGCCACTGGCCTCCTTCCTGACTGTTTGCTTTAAACAAGGATGCAGACTTTCCAGACACAATTTCTCTGGAAATGTTCATTTTCATCACTTCTGTGGCTCTTCCCAGTTATTTCCTCACAGGAAATTTGCATGCTTTTCAGCAAACAGCCCTTTGACACAACCTGGATCTTGATCTTATTTTTTGTAACTTTTTAAGCGGAAATAATGTCAAATTTACAAGTTGCAAGGATGGCACAAAGAACTACTCTCTTATACTTTTATCTCATTGTAAATGTTTTACAGCATTTATCTACTCTTTCTATATATACACATTTTTTTTTTATGAGCCATTTGGGAGTAAGCTGAAGAACTGATGCTCTTTTACTCATGAATACTTGTGAGCTTCCTATGAACAAGGACCTTCTCTTACACAGCCACAGAACAATGCACAAAACTGTGGGATTTAAAAATGATACACTAATATTCTCCAATCTACAGACCTTATTCTAATTTCATTAGATGTTCCAACAATGTGGTTTATAGCAAAACAGATAAAAGAAGAAGAAATTCTGGCGCAGGGTCCAAACCGGACCACAGCATTATGTGGCGTGTCTGTGAATCTCCTTTATTCTGGAATAGTGCACCAGTCTTTGTCTCTCACACTTCAGTCACTTATTAAAATACACGCCAGTCATTTAGAAGAATGTTCCTAAATGAGAGCTTACCTGATTCAAATTGTTTTTCTGCATCTTAAATTACAAAGTATTTTTCCATATCCTATACCCAAAGGAGTGTTCACCATTTGAACCATTTAAAGCCCAGCCCTAAATACAGTTTTCTGACGAGCTTTCCTTAGATTAGGGAACACTGTTAACTATTACTTAATCGCTGCGTATTTTTTTGTTTCTTAACAGTTTAGCTTCAAACATTTTTTAAAACCAACCTTACTGAAGTGTAATTTATAGTCAGTTAATTGGATACACTTCTAAGTGTATAGCTCAATGAGTTTTGACACATCTACTCACCCTTGTAACCACCACCACAAATAAGATATAGAATAATTTCATTACCCTCAGAATTTTCCTGAGGTCCCCTGTCCCAGCCCCAGGAAAACACAGCTCTGGCTTACAACCCTATGGATGAGAACTGCCTGTTGCGGCTCGGGAAATGAGTGGAACTGCAGAGTGCACTCTTCTGTGTCTGCGCTTTTGCTTAGCACACTTTTGAGACTCATCCATAATGTAGTGCATCCATAGTGCCTTCATTTTTATTGCTAATACTCCATGTTACGGATGAATTGTCCATTCATCTGCTGTTGATGGGCACTAGAGTTATTTTTAGCTTTTGACTATAAATAGCTATTATAAACATATAGAACTATCATAAATATTCATATATAAATCTTTGCATGAATATATGCTTTTTGCTTTTATCCCTTTTGGGTAAATTCCTAGGAGTGGAATCGTTGGGTCATATGGTAAGTAAGTATATGTTTAGTTTTACAGGAAATGGCTAAACTGTTTTCCAAATTGGCTGTACCATTTTTACAGTACTACCAGCAATGCCCAACAATTCCAGATGCTCCTCCATGTCCTCACTAATGTTTGGCATTCTTAAGTCTTTTTAATTTCAGTCATCTTAGTGGGTGTGCAGTGGCATGTTATTATAGTTTTAATTTTCACGTTCCTAAAAACTGGCGATGATTAGCATCATTTCATGTGCTTTTTGGCTGCTTAAATATCTTCTTTTGCTTATTTTTTGTTTGAATCTTTGTCTTCTTAAAATTGAAGTGAGAATGTTCACTCTTTTGTGCCCATCCCAAAAATCACTGTGAGACTTCTATGCAAAGGGCCTTGTCACAGTTTTCTGCAAACAACAACACTTGCCTTATTGCAAATAAACAAACTCCAACTGTCCCAGGGGAGACCCCTCACTGTAGTTTTCTCTTCGACAGAAGTCTGAAGGTCCACCTTCCGTGACGCTCACAGCCCTTCTTGATGTCATCCAGCTCTTATCCACGAATCCTCAGCTCACCATGGAAATGCGGATTTCCCCACCTTCAATCTGCCCCATCACACCAGTGATGTTTCAGTTCACTTTGCACTGGTTCTTCTTTCCACCCAGAACACTCTTGTGCCAGGCGGACCCACAACGAGTTCTCTAATTACCTTCAACTCCTTGCTCCTATGTCTCCATCCCAACAAGGCCTACCCAGACCTTCCAATCGACTATGGTAACTGCCTGTCTCCTCCCCACCCAGGGCCATCTCCAGAACTCCCAACCCCCACTATTTTTCTCCACTGTCTTTTCTTTATAGTACTTTATCTTTTAAAAAGGAATGTAATTATTTACTATGCCTTTTGTTCAGTGTCTGTCTCTTTCTGCTAGAATAAATACTCCAGAAGGCCAAGACTCCTCGTTTTGCTCATGAATGTATCGTGGGCACTCAGAACAGCAGCTGGCTTCAGCCTGGATACATCTTCATCCCTCCCCTATGCTACTGCTCTAAGATGCATGACCTCAGTTCTCACTGGCTGTGGCAGTTCCATTGTGAGGAGTGGGGAAGTCCTAAAACCCTGATATCCTTTCAGCTTTCCTGGTGCCATGCGAAGCTGGAGAGTTCAAATTTATACAAGGTTCATGCTAAAAAGTAAGCTTTGGACCTACAAGGTTCATGTAGAAAAGTAAGTTTTGGACCTATTATTTTCTCTCAAAACTGTTTGAGAAGGCTAACTAGAAGCAAGGAATACTCCTGAAGGGACTTGGCTGAACATTAGTTTTCAAATGCTGAGTCTGGGATACATCTGAGAGTTTAAGTGGGTGAACTAGATTAAGTGATGTAGTGATGGCCACAAGTGAAGAATCAGTGGGCTCAGAAATGTTAGAGAAATCTGAACATAGAACTCAACCTATTTCATAATATATATGGAAAGCCCATTAAGGTAAGAATAAATTTTAGGAAATGTTAAGAATAACCATGTTTAAATTTAGTGACCAATACCGAATAGGTATTGATTTTAAAGAAGAATATATATGTATATGCTATAATGCTAGCAGCCCATTTTAAATAGAAAAATTGCCACACAAGACTTGCCTTCTCTTCATTGTAAAAGAGATGACTCATCTTAGAAAGAAAATGGCCTAATTGCTATTAGATTTACAATTCTCAAAATTTTATTGGTGCCACAACATTTAAAATATATAGTTCTAGAAATCAAAGATATACAGAAGGTAAAAGCTACTGAAAACCACAGCAGTTTCATCTTGCAAGGCACTGCTGTTAAACATAACCCAAATCGAAGTGTGTGCACACAAACAGCTATGTGAAGCTTCTACAGGAGTCCCTTCTACTACCCTCAGATTTTGGTTTCCAGGTTTTATCTGCGTGCTATCAGCTTTTTAGTTTCATAAGTTATAACTTTCTCATGACTTGCTTGAATTGTTATAAGCAGGTAATTAAATAAACTAGAAAAAAACCTAACTGAAAATTCAATGTGCAAGTAAGCTGAACTAGCACATCAGACAATGGTTTCATATGCTAATGCCCCTGGGTGTATGCCAGTTTTTTCCTCTGAACTTCTCCGATTTCATCCATCTTTGTTGAATGGCAGCTCAGCACCCCCTTCACCTACACTCAGCCACAAACATATCTGGGCCATCTGTGTCTTGAAGACAAGGGAGGACATATCAGCACTTCCCCTTCCCCACGAGTTCAGCTGACATTCTTTAGTAAAATACACAAAAGAACAGATTGCAGTTCATCCATAGGGCAATTTCACATTTCGCAAAGCTGTATGGTGCACAAATCCCACCCATATACATCAGAGGTCGTCTGAAGACTGGATGCCAAAGTCAAGAGTTGAGTGTGAGGTTTTGTTTTGCTTCTGTAAGAAGAGTTAATGTGGCATTTATGAAAGCTCACAGTTTCCCAAAAATCACTTCTGCAAAAATAAGTTCAAAAGGAACTCAGCTACACTTAGCATTTTACATTGTGTATGAATCATCTGTGAAGTTATAAAAACTTTGGTTGAAATTTTCAGGAAACCCTGTCAATTCTTTGACTTTTGAAAGAGATTTCTGTTGTCATATACAGTTTCAAATTGTTTAATAGCATGCAGAAATAGAACAGAATCAGAAGAGTGTCAAAGTGAATCAAATCCAGAAATTTAAGGGAAAAAAAGATAAAATTCAGACAAAATTTACTTTAATGACCACAATTTTGCTGTAGCATTTTAGATTCCTTTGGCTATTGTCCAACTTAACCAAAGCCAGTCACAGTAAACTTGGTTGAGCTAGGGTAAGTTACTAAGTACTCCATTTGTTGATGGGTATCAGATTCGCAGAAGGAACTAATTGACATCTGCACAGAGCGTTTAATTTTTCTATGCTTAATATTCTATTACCCCGAGTACCTGAAGTTTCACTGATGTTTACTGCCTTTCCCCCACTTCTGCAATTATCCTTAAAAATACATCAATAATGTGTCATAGAAATCTCCAATAATTTTTCTAAAGATAATACTTTTGAATTTGGTAAAGAATGATGTTTAAAAATTTTAGGCAGCACAGGACATGTACAAGCTGCTGAATATTAGATGTTTGATTTTCAGAGAATATCATTTTCATAATTCATGGATTTAACATATAAGATGGTAAATGAAAAGTATATAAATAATTATCACAGAAAAGCATCAAAATTTCATTTTTTTATGATTAGGAAATAGAATTTTTTTTTTTTTTTTGAGACAGAGTTTCGCTCTGTCGCCCAGGCTGGAGTACAGTCGTGGGATCTTGGCTCACTGCAACCTCCACCTCCTGGGTTCAAGCGATTCTCCTGCCTTGGCCTCCTGAGTAGCTGGGATTACAGGTGCCCACCACCATGCCCGGCTAATTTTTTGTGTTTTTAGTAGAGATGGGGTCTCGCCATGTTGGCCAGGTTGGTGTCGAACTCCTTACCTCAGGTGATCTGCCTGCCTCAGCCTCCCAAAATGCTGGGATTACAGGTGTGAGCCACCGCCCCCAGCCAAGAAATGTAATTCCAATATCTAAAATGCTAAGTTCATAGAATCTTCGAAAGGAAGTAGGATAATTCTTGGCATGTGCCCTTTCTCGCTTAAATGCTCTATGAGGTCTGTGTGATATACAATAAACAGTGCCCATGTAGCTTGCACATTGTGCTGAGTTTTGACAAATCTATACAGCCCTGTGGTTACACCACCACAATCAAGATAATGTACATATCCTGGACACCAAAATGTTCCTCAGTGTCCTCCTGTAGTCAGTAACCTCCCACATCCTGTCAATCAAATATCTGCTTTCTGTCCCTAGAGATCTGTCTTTTCCAGAGCTTCATAAATTGAATCGTAGAGTAGTATTTGCTTGGGTCTCACTTCTTTCTCTCAGGATAACATTGCTGAGGCGCATCCATGTTGTTAGTTCAGGCCTTTTTCTTACTAAATAGTATTCCATTGACCATAACTTGTTTATTTACTTATCTTTTGATAGACATTTGAGTTGTTTCTAACTTTCGATTACTTGAACAAAGTTGCCATGAGCATTCATGGATAAGGTTTCAGGTGGATGCATCTTTTCATTTATTTTGGTTAAAAACCTAGGAGTCGGATGGCTAGGTTATATAGTGGATAGGTGTATGTTTAATTTTATAAGAACTTATCAAACTGTTTTGTAAAGTGGCTGTACCATTTCACACTCTCCCCAGCGATGTCTGAAAATTCTAGATGACTACATCCTCACTAACATTTGGTATAGGTTGTCTTTTGATTGTTAGCTATTTTGATGGGTATGTAGTGGCATCTCCTCGTGGCTTTAATTGTATTGTCCTGAAGGGTGGTGACATTGAACACCATCTCATCTACTTACTGGCCACTTGCACATTGTCTTCTGCTATTTTTTTTGTTTGTTTATTTATTTTTTTTATTATTATTATACTTCAAGTTTTAGGGTTACAGAATTGAACAATGCTATTTTTCTTAGTTGGGTTTTTGTCTTATTTTTGAGTGGTGATTTGTTCTTTAAGTACTCTAGAATCAAGAACTAGGCCAGATATATATAAAAATATATAAAAACTATTTTATATCTATCTATATATATATATCTTTTCTCTTTATTTTCTTAACAGTATCTTTTGAAGAGCAAAAGCTTTCAACTTTGATGGTTCAATTTATCAGTTCTTTTTCTTTCACCATTTGTGCTTTTTACATCCTATCCAAGAAATCTCTGAATATCTCAAAGTCAGAAAAATTTTCTCCTATGTTTTGTTCCAAAAGGTTTAGAAGTTTAACTTTCATATTTAGGCTTTTGATCCATTTTGAGGCAATTTTTTGAATGGTGTAAGGGTTAAGGTTCATTTTTTTATATGGATATATAATATTTCAGAACCGTTAATTAAAAAGATCATTCCTTCCTCCTTGGCATCTTGTTGAAAATCAACTGACCACACGCTTGTGTGGGTCTATTTGTGGCCTTCCGACTATGTTTCTTGCATCCATATGTCTTCATTATTGTATCTTTAGAGTAGGTATTGGAATCCAGTATGCATGTCTTCCAAGTTTGTTTTCTTTTCCAAAACTGTTTTGATTATTACAGGTTCTTTGCATTCCCACACACATTTTAGAAGCAGCTCATCAATTTCTACCAAAAGCCTCCTAGGATTTGGCTGGGATTGTGTTGAATCTATAGATCAATGTGGGGATACCTGACATTTAACAACACTGAGTCCTCCCATCTATAAATGTGGAATCTCTACTATCTTGGTCTTCTTTAACTCCTCTAAGCGGTGTTTTGTAGTTTTTATTGTACAGGTCTTGAATATATTTTAAAAAATGTATCCCTAAGTATTTGAACATTATTCTAATCCAGTTTTTTTTTTCTAGTTTTGCTTTAAAATTTAATTTCCTTGGCTGTATTTTTCTAACTTTTAATTAGGCCACAGGCACACAAGACAGGCAGCTTCACTAACCCCTCAGAGTTCACATCATATTCTCCTCTCTTCAAGAATTTTATTTGTCACTGAAAGGAGACATTCTCTTATTGCTTAAACAGAGCCCGATCAATAGAGAAGCCTGTGATGCTTCCTGCTAAGGTGGCTCTTTTCTCAACACACATTCTTGTTGGAGGAGATGAACACGGACACCACACGTGAGCTCACCGTTCCTCGCGTACAATCTTACTGGGTTTGGTAATACAGTAAGACCTATAATAATAATTGCACCATTCTCTACATATTGCTGTAATAAATTTCACAGACACTGATGATGTTATCGTCTATCAAAGGAGCTATAAAATCAATGTGATCTTAACAACTTTGGACTTATCTATGTATGGATTAAAAGCTTGAAAAAAATTCCCCGGTACTGACACAACGACACGCCTCTAAGCAGCATGAACTTTCCAGTGCTCAATGCACTTCGGAGTATGCCATTTCTAACACACGCGATGTGTATCAGCTAATGTATTTTGTCTGTTCCTGAAACACTTATATGATGTTTAGTCAAAATGTCTGGTGTTGGGGTTGCCCATCGAGAATAAAAAATATTTTTAAAAAGCTCAAAAATACCTTTACATGAAGGATACTAGTCCTAATATTTTAAACAAATACTAGACACAATATCCTATATGAACATACATTAACATGTTAAAGAATGTATAAGAAAGATAAACATAATACATTTTAAAAAATCTCCCCCTTTTTCTTAGAAATAATATAACTAAGAGAAAAAATAGAAGAATAAACAGGATTTTTGTCTGGAATATACAGGATACGGCATATTCTTCATTCACATACTCATCGAAAAGTGTGTGTGCGTTTGTGTGTGTTTTTCAATCCATATTTTTAAGAACTAAGGACAATCTGAATTTACTTCCAGCTATCTACATTTATTGTAACATAATATGATTGCATGTTTCCTCTGAGAGGGAAAAAATTGGAGATGTTTTCGAAACCACACTGTAGTTGTTAAATAAAAGCTTAAAGTGAAACTGAGAGAGAGAATGCCAAGTATAAAATGGATGACATTCATGGATGGGGGCTACTATTCAATGGCTGAAATGGTTAGACTTTCTTGAATTTTCATATAATACACTAGTAATTTGTAAACTCATGTGGTCCGAGAAACAGTATTAGCTAAATGGCTTCTTTGGAGTATTTAAATTTTATTTTGGTGACAATTCTTAATTTAACAGTAGTGCCATTTCACTATAATATGTCAAAATACTTCCTTTGGTAACAGAGTACATGACGTAGTTAAAGTTTTCTGGCAGTGCATCTAGCATCCTAAAGTATGTTAACTATTCCCACCGAGAGCTCACATTTATTCCTATTTCACAGTAAGTTGTCAAACGTCAGCAGAAAAATCAACACTAGACTGCATTTGTATTTATTAGTTTGTATGCCGAAGTCTGTCTTATGGTGAAACTGCTGTGTGCTGTGAGGGGCAGTGGATGTGTCTGCATACAATGAGTGCCAATGCTGAGGACACACAGTGACATGGAGATGGCAAAAATGCTGTATGTTCACACAGGATGCTGCAGTACACACACTGCTTTCATATTCCATCCTCATAAGTATTCTATGAGCCAGTCAACAAGAAATTATTTTCATTTTACAAAGATTATAACTGAAGTTCAATCAGGGAAACATATCAGTCCATAGTCTGGTGGCAGGGCTAGACTAGAACTCTGATGTTGGCAGTCACAATTCCATACGCTCTGCCTGGAAAAAGTGTGGTCTAAGGTTAGGAAGGCCACGGGGTCCATTTGCTTCCTTCCTGTTTCACTGTCAAGCAATGACAGTTTTTTGTACTACCCTGGCTGTTCAATGGCCCAAAGCAACAGGCAGAGTTGGGCCCCACGTGTGGCTCCTGTCCCAGCAGTGAGTGGCAGCTCAGAACAGCGCCAGAAGGTCCCTTCTGCTCGATCCTCTCTAAAGGCCTCCAGAATGGAATGATTTAGAGCCACACATTTCTTTTTCTCTTAATTCCGAATTTTAACATCGGTTATTAGTTGGAAGACTGGCTTTCCTCCTTATTTTTGTTTGCTTTCCCTAAGGATAACACTAATTTAGGTGGTTGTAATAATTAGCCAGGAACTCAAAGATTAGTCTAAAGTTTGTTCTCATAGTTCCTATTAATAAACACTTAGTAGACTCCAGACTTTCCTCATGTCAACGACATCAACAAAAAGAAGTTGAATTAATATGATATAGGAAACACTGTAACTCTAAAATAACTAATTCTCTGTATTGAATGATCAGCAATATTTATTCACCTTTTCATGTTTTATTTTTCTTCCTACACAGGAACATATTAATGTATAAAGGGTATTTTAAGGAGGTAAAAATTACCAGAGTAGTGAACAAAGTTAAAGCTGAAACTGTTTAACAGGGTGATTCAAATAAAGAGGTAAAAATAATACCAACAAAATGTATAAAGAAAAGACTATTCTTTTATGAATATAGGATGCACTAATCAGAACTGTGCTCAAATATCGACAATGCATTCGGTCTTTGGGGTCACTAATGTATCACTGCATATATTATTAGAAAAGGTAATTTATATTGCTGAGAGCTAGCACACTACAAAATTCTAAAAATACTGTAATATATTTTTCAAATTTGGACTCAAGAGTTAAAAATAAATGAACAGATCTTCAAAAGGTAAACAATTTGACTCTACGCACATTCAGAATCAGAGCCAATGATCCTGAGTGGACTAGAGAAGTCCAGTTATGTGATACTTTGTTAATCACAAATGCAGGGCCAGCTCTTCACCATCTTTGATCCCTGGAAACTTTTTGGCAGAGTGGATCGTCTTTGCTTCAACAAATTTCCATTTTATAATTAATGGTGGCATTTCTGCCCAAACATAGCATTAAATAAATCTCAGAAACAATACGGGATTTTCTTAACCATCATTTAGTTTTTAGGTTTTGGGCACTATGGCACATAGTTGGTTATTAACATCCATTTATTGGATGTTGAGCAGGTAACACAAAGTTAAGAATGAACTGAAATCATGTTTTAAGACCTATAAAAGGTCATAACAACTTACATGCTGAACCTAAATGAACTCTAAACATAAACTACATACAATTTGATATGGAATTAAAAATTGGACATAAAACCAATATGTCATATATTGTAAACATAATAAAAATTAAACTTTTAACTTGCTGATCTTATTAAATTTTAGAATAGTTTTTGGCAGGAATGATTTGGATGGCCCAGGTACTTTTAAAAAAGATGTGATGACTTTTTTTTTCCTCTGGTAACTTCAGTTGCAGTGAGCAGCGGCAGGAACATTTGCAGCACTCACCTGAGGTATGTGAGGGGCAGCGCAGGCTTAGGCGAGGCTCGCTGGGAGTGGCTAACGACCTGGACAACGAGGTACACAGAGAAGAACCCTAGTCCGAGAGCTAGTTCTGTTAACTACTGGTTATAGAAATGTGGACAAATCCCTAGCCTTTCTAAAGTCAATTTGATTTTCTATAAAAGAAGAGAGATGGTTTTCCCTCCTCAGAGGGCTGTTATCAAGTAATATGACAGAAATTGTCTATGACCTGCCAAATACTATTACAACAGACTGATGTATAATTATTAAAAACATCTATACAAGAAGATCAAATGAGATAGACCTGCCAGTTCTTTCCCCTTCATCTTTGCTAACTCTCCAGTAGCTACAGGCTGAGCTGCTCGGTGCCAGGCTAACAGCAATGCCACCAGGAGCCATGACGGGTGTGGGACTCCTTTCTCCTCTTAGGCTCCACAGCCAGTGTGGCCTCTCTCTGTCACTAGCATGCTGAGGAAAAGACGGTGAGGTCACCATGGATGCTCCTGGCGTGTCCCAGTGCCTATCCTGCTTCTCCAAATTCAAAGCCACAACTCCTGTTCATTTTCCTTCTAATTGCTATGTTTGTAAAACTAAATAACTTAATTTTGTTTAGCTTTGGGCCTGGCAAATATTTCCTCTGTATAGAAGTCATATTCTTCATGACTACCCAAAGACCGACTGACTCATAAATCATTCAAAAAAGCAACAATACTAGCCACTAATTATGTGCTAGGGCCTTAGGAACTGAGCAAACAAACAGAAAAAAACTCACAGAATATCACGGTTGTTATACGCAAGTTTATCATGTGATTCTAGCACTTCCTATTTTCATTTGGGAAATTACAAAGTGAACACTTCTTTAGGAACAAACACTGCATGCTGTAGAATGGCTTACACAGCCTAAGATAACACCTGACTGTGCCTACCTTAATGGGGCCATACCCCCAAGTGAGAACACAATGGCAGGAAAAGGGACCTCTAGCAGCAAGCTCTGAATGAGGGGACCATAAAGCGTGAAACAGCAAAAGCCGGGTACTACTCAAATCGCAAAACTGATTTAAAAAAAAAATAGTGCAGTTTAAGGGAAGATGATGCAATCATGGAATTAGTTATTAAAACAATAGGAAAGTGTTTTCTGCCACACTTTGCTCCCTTTGATCCACATGGCATAACTAGTTGGCTTGGTTTTTGAAAAACATCATGTTCTTGGTTTATAAAAAGCTATTACAGTAGCAGCATTATTAGGAAAATTAAATGATGATAAAAGGAAAAAAATTTTTTTTCAGACAACTTTACACTTGGGAAGTAAGCCTTTCAGGAATAACAATGAACAGGGTTGATGAGTTTCTTTGGAAGAAAAGAAGTTCCAATTCATCAATTTTTTAAAAATGCTACTGAATAGAAATGACAAGACCTATCAGTGATAAAAGTTTCTTTTTTATTTTACATAATTTGGAACCACCAGAGACAGATTTAATTTGCCGTTTTAGAACAAAAATTCAATGTCTGCTTGTTAGATGCTACAATATTTTTATCTATCTACCTGCTGTGGGATGAAGAGAGGAAACAGAGGTGACGCTCCTAAGACAGTGACGAGAGGTTCCTCCCTTAACAGGCAACGCCCTGATTACTGGCCACTGGAGTATGAGTGATAGCTGCATCCCTGATGAGTAGCAAGGGAACTCAGTAATAAAGTCTGAGCTTTGTAAGTTTCCAATGATTGTGGTGAACTGAATGCAACTTTATCCAAATCAACAGTCACTGGAAAATGCTAATTACAGATTAACTCGGTAAGTATTCCATAATCGCCAATAATAATTATTGGATTTTCTTATTTTGAAGGAGGTAAGTTAATTTCATATAAAGCAAAGATTCAACAGTGGTGCTTTGAGAAAGAGACTATAGAATGTCTGGGTTTTACCAGTGGAGGTATTTTCAATAACGGGCTTTAAGGTTAGATTGTCTTCAATAGGACGCTGTGTAGAAAAGGTTAACACATCATAAAGGCAGGCAATTTCCAAACCTTTAAAGACACATGATGTTGAAAAGTTCGCAAAAGAAGGAAACCTTAGAGAATGCTAAAAAGTCCGCACATTTGTAGGCACATGTTTTCAATACTACTCCTAGATCACCTTTAACAATGGAGGTGTCCTGCTGTATTGGTAGCTCTCTGAAAACCAAGTACTCACCTTTCTCTTAGATAAATCTTGTGAAGAAGCCCATCATAAGCACTCAAATTATTGGCTGTGTGCTGAATTCCCATTTTAAGCCAACAGAAAAAGTGGAATATGGGAAAATGTGCTATTTCAGAGTTCAGTTACAAAGCCACTAAATCCTACAAGCCTCATACCAGCATTTGGGTAAGTTTCAATTTCATGTGGCATATATTTTAGAATAAATTTGTAGCATATGTTTATAGTTTTTATAGCTTAAAGCAAAGTAAAATTGTAACTGGAAAACAATCCACATTTGAAATGAAACCACCATGCTCAGGACTCTTCTCAGAGATCAACGCTTGGGTCTCCATGTGTGTGGCTTGGCTGGTCCACGCCGCGTCCTCCCCAGTCACATCCTGCGCTCCTCCAGGGCCGAGCGACAGTGCCCTCCGTAGGAAGCCTTTCGGGACCCCTCTAGCCTCATAGTCTCCCTCTCTGTTGAAGTAAGTACTTGAGAACATTTACCCTCTGTCACATGACTGAACATACTCTATGAACCTCATCATGTTCTTAGCCTTCCACAAAGTTACTTAATCTTGTCTGAACCAGGAACAGATCGTAAGCTTCTTGGAAGTCCAAATGCTCCATTACACTTTCCTTGGTGGCCCTCGGGTCTCGAGCAGAGTGATATTGAGTTATGAGCATTTGACAGAACCTGTCACTCAACTGAGGCCTGGAGCTGCGGCTTTCCAGGGACTCACTCCTAGACGCACTTTCCGGCTGCCCAGGGCACTGCGGACACCTGTGGCATGTAACCGCTGCCCGTGCCCCGCCTCACCCTGCACAGCACCCACTGACGGGGGTGCCTCTGCACTAGGTGGCTGTTCTGTGCCCTTGGGCGTTGAGTATCAAGACACTGTCCTGCAGCTGGACACTGTTACTACAGAGACAAGAGCCCCATGGACAGGAATGATGCTTCCCGGCATTAGTAACACTGCTTCTAGCTCTTAGACATTTCAGGGAATACTGGCTCCTGGAGGCGTCCTTACCCATTCTCTCACCTGACACCAAAATCTTGATGGTGCCAGGCAAGTAGCAACATTGATGTGATACCCTGAAATCACAAATGCCCAGAGGCCTTGATATCGTAGATGGCAAAAATACTCCAATCCCCAGTGTGTCTGGGGCTGAGAAGGCTGTCCGGGCTCCTCTCCAAGTGGCCGCAGCGGAGCCGGTGATGGCAGGACTGGTGCTCCCTTTCTTTCCTCTGCTGGGTTCCTGGCTTCCTTTCATGCAGGATTTTCTCAGCAAATGTCTCAAAATATTTGTGGGCAACATATTCTTATGTAAAAAAATCATGTCACTCATGCCTGCAAATGAATCTTCTTAGGTTGGAAACTATCATCCTCATAGAGAAAGGAGGATTTCTAATTCTTAGTAAAGAATTCTTAGTAGAGAATTAGAAATTCAACAATTGGCTGGGTGGGGTGGCTCACGCCTGTAATCTCAGCACTTTAGGAGGCCGAGGCGGGTGGATCACCTGAGAGGTCAGGAATTCGAGACCAGCCTCATCAAAATGGTGAAACCCTGTCTCTATTAAAATACAAAAAAATTAGCCGGGCGTGGTAGTGGGTGCCTGTATCCCAGCTACTCGGGAGGCTGAGGCAGGGGAATCCCTTGAACCTGGGAGGCTGATGTAGTGAGCTGAGGTCACGCCGTTGCACTCCAGCCTGGGCCACAAGAGCGAAACTCCGTCTCAAAAAACAAAAAGAAATTCAGCAATTAACACTGTGTCCAGTGACTCTTTAAAGAAAAAAAAAAAAAAAAGCATGGGGAAGGGGTTACAGAGATGTCAACTCGTCTTCCGTTTTGGAATTAGTTTTTATGTCATCGTTTACAAAGGATTTACTTATGTAGCATTTCGGATAATTTTAGTGTTAAAAACAGCCTTCTTTCAGAATAGAGGGAAACACATTTTTTTTTCCAACAGTGGAAGCAGCTTTTACGCAAGAACACGACCCTTTATTAAAATCTGTTATTTTAATAAAATATAATATTCGCAGTATTTCTCCCTTTGCGACCCCACGTGACAACTGGCAAACACCACAGATTACCTAAGTTAACACTTAGAGTTAAAACAATAATGATTGAACAAAATACATTAAAAACTACTGGATTCATCTTTCAGCTGGATTAGTGCTTTTTGTGAGGTCCCTCCAAAAATCCAAGTTTTTGAGAAAACTAGGAATAAACCATCACAGATACGTAAAGTGGTGTTTTTAAATAGATTATTTCATTAATAATAAATGGTCCTTTTATTTTATTTTATACTTCTCTGGCTACTATTAAGGTCGAACATTATTTCATGATGTATTTCAGTTCTTCATAAATCTTTCAATCATGTCCTTTTTCCATTTTTCCACTGCTATCTTAGAGTTCTCCTATGATTTTGATTTATATGAATTCATCATACATTAAAAATATAATTCTTAGCCAGGTGCGGTGGCTCACGCCTGTAATCCCAGCACTTTGGGAGGCCGAGGTGGGTGGATTACCTGAGGTCAGCAGTTCAAGAGCAGCCTGGCCAACATGGCGAAACCCCGTCTTTACTAAAAATACAAAAATTAGTCAGGCGTGGTGGTGCATGCCTGTAATCCCAGCTACTCAGGAGGCTGAGGTAGGAGAATTGCTCGAACCCGGGAGGCAGAGGTTGCAGTGAGCTGAGATTGCACCACTGCACTCCGACCTGGGCGACTATATATATATTTCTTGTAGATGTTTGTTCCAGATACCTAGTTTGTAGCTTAATTTTAAATGTTGATAACCGCACTTGAATGCCTGTACTCTGCCAAGCTCACAATGTATAAGGGCCACGAAGCTATTGCACCAAGTAGACTCTACAGAGGTGTGTAGGAAGCGGGTACAGGTTCTACTTCTTCCTTCCTTATCAGTTTCTCGGTCGTACCACACCCAGGTGTCGCTAATTCTACTCTCACTGACAGAGCACTGGAGAAGGTTCAAAAGCAGTGCTGCCCGCGAAGTCGTCCCTTCTCTCTCAGCATTTGATGAGCCTTTCCCACATCTCTCCCTTCAAACTACACAGCAGCCTCCACAGGTCTCATTTGCCGCCCACAGCCCTCACGCCTCTCCCGATGGTTCCTGCTGTTTTCCCAGCTCCCTGCACATTGTCATCCTATGGCTTTAGTCTTGGATTCCTTCTTACATGATATACTCAATCCCGGGCTGAAGCTACTTCCTTCTACCACTTCAATGACCACCTCCATGTCCACAGCTCTTAAATTTGTGTCTCCATTCCCACTTAAGTTTTTCATCTTCAATTTTTCGCTTTCAGGAGACTATTAGATGCCTGGATGTTCCATCTGTATCACATACTTCCATGTTTTAAACCAAAACTGTACTCTACCCCTCCTTTCTCAATCTAGGATGGCAGTATGTCCCTCCTCGCTAAAGAGCCTCATCATCCAATCATTAAGCCATACATCTGGAAGTCATCTGCAACCCGTCTTCCTCATGCTCCATACACAGTGTGCTGCCTCTTGTAGTTGGTCTCTAAAAATGTTCACAATCAACACCATTTTTTATTTCCATCACCTCTTAATGAATGCTTGCCTCCATCTTTGTCTTTCTGAATCTTTCTTAATCACAGTAGTATCATCTTCCAAAATCAATATCTAATTACGTTACCCCTCTATGTCTTCACACATGGAATGGCTCCTTACGACCTATTTGATGAGGTCCAGACCATTTAACATGGACTCCAAGATCTTCCACAATCAACACTGCTCTCTTCTGAGCTCTAGAGCTACATGACTGCCCACTGTCCCCCACGCAAGGAATGCTATTTTCTCGCATCCAAATCTTTGGTCACATTATTCCATACCCCTGTTTCACCAAATTCTCACTCAATTCAATGTGACTACATGCATCCGTGAAGGTCCCAAAGGCGCACTGCCTCTCTTTCAGGACTCCACGTTAAACAACCTGATTTGATAAAAAATGAAAAGCACCTTGTAAGACAAAAGGTGCCATAAGTGCAGAAAAAAATAGATAAATCTTAAATATATAGTTGAAAGTTAGACCACATTAAAATGTTAACATTTGTAATATTGCAAATTTCATGTAAACTTGCAAGTTTACATGAAAAGTACTAAAAATCCCCAATAAAAATGGAGAAAGTATAAAGAGAAAATTCACAAAATCAAATCCCAAATCCTAGCAACCACAGTAAGAGTCATGGATCCAGAAGTAGTCGGCAAATGCCAATGAAACTAGTAACTTACTCCGAGTCATACTGGCACAAACATCAAAAGAAGAAGAACGTATTCTGACTGTGGGGATCTCGCAGAGAGGGGACTCTCCAGTGAGGAACACTTTCGGTGGCCGATCAACAGGCACTGCTCCCTCTACTGCCTCACCTTCTGTGGAGCCTGCCAAGATGTGAGACATCTATACTTTCCACTCAGTCACAGGCTTATAAGATTAATCTTCTTCCTCTCCTATTCTTTATTAACATCTGTTTAGACTTAAAGTCAAGAAGGGGCTTAAAATGAGCCATCTTTGATGTGAAAACGTGTGTGAGATAGGCTACTAAACATCGCCATGAAACATACAAGAAGGAAACTCACATGGAATGTGACCTGCTTGCATGGTCCCTTCTCTGAGGAGATGTTCCATACAAACATCTTACCAGGATGTGTGTGGTGGCAGTGTGGAATTTGTAGGCAGGCACAGCTTCGCTGATGACTGGTTGGTTTTAGGCTCTCACCACCATCTGACTGCTGAGGTAAGAGGAAGGCATTGCTGACGCTGATCTACATGAATACAAGTTGCTTGATTTTAACTCACAGATGTTTCTTGTTGGCTTTGAAACATAAACAGTCATATAAAGAGCTACTGCAAGTATTATCCAGACCATCAGCAAAGCCATCAAATGCATCAGAAAGCAAACAAGTTAAATTAAAAACACATAAACATGGAGATTTAAACAAAATCACAATTGACTAAATGGTTAAAAGTCTATGCCATAGGATACAGCAATCCTTTTCTCTTTTCTGCCTGTCCAGCCTATACTGCTCCTCAGAGACACAGAAGCCTATGCATTAGCATGTAAGCCTATCTGGAAGAGTTCAAAGGGCTTCAACTTGTCAGTAGAGATGTTTTCCTCATAGATCAGGGGAAAATTCTCGATTTAGTTAATCCACCAATTTTAAATAATCTGATGTTCCATATCGGAAACCCACATGACACGAACATGTGACAGAATGCAGGTGTGGATGTCTGTCTTAACAGGACCACTTAGGCTCCACGTGAAAGCACAGTGCTCCGAAGGGGCTCCAGTGGGCCTCAGTGAGAGATTACGCTGAAAGCTATTGGCAGAACATGGCAAGGCAGAATGTCAGATTTCATACTCGGCAGACATCTACAACAACTGATGCCTTGTAGTCAAAGGCTGTTAAATTACCTGTGAAGGGTTATTGGCAGCCTTGAATGTTTTTCTCATTGTTTATTTAGTTCCAAAAGCTCTCGGTCTTTGTGCCAATTGCCCTAACTGACAGCACAGGAAATCTGGACTTTGTAAACAGGGCCCAGCTCTATTGAATTACAGGTCGCAGGTCTGTGATCAACCTGCAGGGCTGGACCTGTACAGAGAAACCCTCGCCTTGCAGCACAAAGGAGCTTCGTATAGAAGCAAACATCACTGCTGTAAATAACAGCATAAGAAAGATGAACTGGAAAAGGGGCATGTAAACACTCATAAACTCATCCCTTTAAAAAAAGCTTTTAATGTGACAGAACACGTAAACTACTCTACTAATGAGAAAACAGTGAATGATCACAGGATTCACACTTCCACAGGGTGGTTATTCCTGACTGCAAGGGGGCTATCCAACATTTGGGGTCAACCAATATGGAATAAGAATGCAAGCTGCTCTACTTCCATAAAAACCAGCCCCAAACACACAATTCAGTAGCATCTATCTTTGTAAAAGCAGCATAAACTGAAAATATTACGACCAGATTATACATTTACATGGGAAATATTTTAAATTTAGTTAATTAAAATACATAAATAAAAAAAGAAAACTCCTAAGTTAGCTGAACGAGAGACAATAAATTGGCATGAGGAGAAACCTCTCTGTCATGACCATCTAGTTCATCTCTGTGAACATTAAATATAACAACATACAATAGAAAAGGAAATCTTATCAAGGACTTCCAAATGCATTAGTATCAGGCAACCATTTCTTGTCTGAACTTTACTTACTAAAACAGATACTGTATGTTATCCCATTATCATGTCCCAAAGACCCCCTTTTGCAGGTTGAAATGAGAAAAATCAGGGTTTCATTAGTATACTCACTGAAGCTGATCACTTTAGGCTCTATTTTTGAACACTGAGATGTAATCTATAGAGAAATGGTGGTCTCTATGAGCTATTTTTTCCCTAGACCTAGTATGGAAAGTGTGAATTATAATTTCATAAGGTTATAAAAATAAACAAAAGATACTTTCAATGAATATTGCCTTTATTCCTGCTAGTTTTTTAATCCCCAAAGCTCAAATAGAAGTAGAATTTCGATCAAACAACTTATATCTTTATGAATGACCTTTAATCACTGGTAAATACAATTATCACTAAAAAATTATTTTCAAACCGACTTGGCTACAAGATGCATCTTTCCCAAGATAACATATGCTTAGATTACACCGATCAAACAATTCAGATATACATACTACAGAATATTTAAATGCCTAACCACAACATATGGGCTACTACAAGGTTTTCTGGAGCAAGGAGCTACTGTACAAGCCAATGCTGAGCTATAATCAGACTCACGTGGGTAATATATCGCCATAACTCTGCTTCAATTAAAAGCATATTTCAGCAGAAGCCCAGGATGTCAGCTCTATGCATTTTAATAATGCCAGCCTACAACTCTGCTTATGCTAAATGTACATTACTCAAATGAGTTCAGAATTACGCTTTACATAAAGACTGAGCATATTAAGACAAAATCCTGCATGACGTAAGTATGTATTAATGGGCACAGTCCCAGAATCTGCTGGCAGTTCTATACAGTGTACATAAAAATCAGTAGATCGATATCAACTAAGATTTCACTAATATTTTCATTTGAAACTATTTCTCATTCTTGTCCTCCCAAAGACACAGCAAAGAAGGAGATGAGCGGAAGAATCTCGAGAGCTGTAATTGTCACTATATGTACTGTATACATAGGATAGACCTTGGGAGTTACTAAGGTCATAATGATTTACCCCATACTTAAAGTGATAATATCAGAGATGCACAACTTTCATTGCATGAAGAACTCTGATGATCTCAAATTAGTGTCCCCTCATGCCCCATCCCCCAACTTCCATGTGGGGTACTAAACAATTTACAGAATTTTTAAAAAAATAATCTACTTCATCATTGGTAGTTTTCACTATGTAAGCTGTAGTGAATGCTACTGAAAGGCATAAATATAGCTTCTGTAAATTCCAATGCCTCAAAGAAAGACAGTTTCATATTTAGCATGATTAACATAATCAGGTAAAGTTGCCGAGCGTAATTTGATACTTGGGGGGAAAAAGTGAGATGTCATTACAGCCATCTTCAAACAAACAGCCAATTAAACAGTGACAATGCCATTATTTGAAGATCCTCCTGTTATTTCTTTTAACTCTTTATACTAAGGTTTATATGGGTATTAAGATTTTTCAAAACTAAAGGCTGAAACCTTGATGCTCACTACAAAGATGCGTTTATTGAACTGTATGGGAAGAATTTAAGCAGCAGCAAGTCATAGGGCAGAATAGCTGTGAGGTCAGCTGTTTAATACGACAGGACCAAGAAAAATCGTCTACTTCGAAGGATACACAGGATTCGAGGTGGGAGACATAATGTCCATCGCACATCTGCACAGTTGTAGAGCTTACAAATTCCTTTCATATTAGCTATCAGAATATACATCTGAATACTTATATATACTATGATAAATTAATTGAATTGCCATATGTCATGGGTTGATTGTGTCCCTCAAAAATTCATGTGTTAAAGTTCTAATCCCCACCACCTCAGAAAATGACCTGTATTTGGGAACAGGGTCATTGTAGATGTTAATTAGTTAAGAAGAAATCATACTGGAGTACTGCAGCTCCCTAATTCAACATGTCTAGTGTCATTTTAAAGACAGGAAAATTTGGACAGATACAGACACACACAAAGAATGCCATGTGAAGACTGGAGTTACGCTGCCACAAGCCAAGGGCCCACCAGGAGCAGAGACGCCTGGAACTGTTCCATCCTAGTGACTTCAGAGGAAGCATGGCCTGACCAACACCTTGATCGCAGACTTCTGGCCTCTATAACTGTGAGACAATACATTTCTGTTGCTTAAGGCCCTCATTTTGTTATGGCGGCCTGTGCAGACAAACATATCGCATGTTTGTTTCAGTTATGATGATGACTTTTATAATATTAGCCATATGTAATAATTATAAAACTGGAGATGTGCAAAAGGATATTCAGTCATTGATGTTTGTTGTAATCGCCTCCAACAGGGCTGCATTTCTGGAAACGCGTGTTGGCCTACACCACTAGCCTACATTGACAGAAATAATCAAATAAACACTAGAAAACCTGTTACTGGTTACTTCAAGGCGACTACTTAGTATGTATATGTCACACAGTCTCCTCCTGAGTTCTCTAAATTATGTTTGGTGACTGAAGCAAAAATTAGAACACTGTCTAACATGGTCTCAATGCATGTAGTTATTCTATATAATTTTATAAATGAGAGATGGTCAAGGAGAGCAAATGGAAACAAAGTTTCTACACTTTGCTCAAACTGGTAAAATGCTGACACCAACAGACTGTGATAAGTTATGTATTTATAATGTTTATACACACACACACACATATATATATAAAACCTAGAATAATCACTAAAAAAGTTTTAAGAAGAGATATACTCAAAAATGAAAACTGACTTCTAGAAAAAGTTCAAGTAAACCGCAAGCAGGCAGGAAAAAGAAAACTGAGAAATGAAAAACAGAACAAACAAAACGAAAAAATAAAATGGCAGACTTAAGACCTAGCGTATCAATAGGTATGCTAAGGGCAGGTGGTTAAACATACCAACTTAATAACAGAGATTGTTAAAGAGGATTTAAAAATATGTGGACCAATTATATACTGCACAGAAGAAGCTCATTTAGAATATAATGATATTTGTAGCTTGAAAGTAAAAGGATAAAATGAGATATACCATACTAACATACATTTTTTTTAAAGCAGGATTGGCTATATTATTCTCAAATAAAGTTTACTCAAATGCAAATATAATCAATAGGGACAGAAATGACATTACATAAAAATAAAGGGTCAGTTCACTGAAATAATACATTAATTTTAAATGTGGACTCACCAAGCAACAGAGCTTTAAAATACATGAAGCCAAAGGAAATCAAGGTGTGAGCTCAGGCAGTGGCAACAGTCCAGATTTGAGCAGCTCTGAGCAGACTAGACGTGATCAGATAAAGCAGGGAGTGAAAGAAAGGGCTGAGGGATGGAGCTAAAACCTCCAGCTTCAACACTTGGGCAGTGATAGCCTAAAAGGAGACAGGAAGCTGAGGGAGAGGAGGAAGAGCAGATTTAAGGTGAGAGGGGAAAGGGAGTGGGGAACACCTCTCTACTTTCTCCTAGTACTGAGCTAATTGTCCTCACACATCTCCTGTTGGTGGGAAGCTGGGAAGGGCGGTTGTAGATCCACTGGCTCAGACAGTAAAATTAGTAAAGTAAAATCGGAGTGAGAAGGAGGTGGAGGAGAAGGGGAGTGGGCCTCGGGATGCTGGAAATCACAACAGTGAAAAGGGAGGTGATATGGTTTGTCTGTGTTCCCATCCAAATCTCAACTTGAATTGTATCTCCCAGAATTCCCACATGTTGTGGGAGGGACCCAGAGGGAGGTAATTGAATCATGGGGGCCAGTTTTTCCCGTGCTATTCTCATGACAGTGATTAAGTCTCACAAGATCTGATGGGTTTATCAGGAGTTTCCACTTTTGCTTCTTCCTCATTTTCTCTTGCTGCCACCATGTAATAAGAAGTGCCTTCCACCCTCTACCATGACTATGAGACCTCCACAGCCATGTGGAACTGCAAGTCCGATTAAACCTCTTTTTCTTCCCAGTTTCAGGTATGTCTTTATCAGCAGCATGAAAATGAACTAATACAGTAAATTGGTACCAGTAGAGTGGGGTGTTGCTGAAAAGATACTGAAAATGTGGAAGCAACTTTGGAACTGGGTAAGAGGCAGAGAGTTGGAACAGTTTGAAGAGCTCAGAAAAAGACGGGAAAACGTGGGAAAGTTTGGAACTTCCTAGAGACTTGTTGAATGGCTTTGCCCAAAATGCTGACAGCGATAAGGAAAATAAGGTCCAAGCTGAGCTGGTCTCAGATGGAGATGAGGAACTTGTTGAGAACTGGAGTAAAGGTGACTCTTGTTACGTTTTAGCAGAGACTCCTGGCATTTTGCCCCTGCCCTAGAGATTTGTGGAACTTTGAACTTGAGAGAAATGATTTAGGGTATCTGGCAGAAGAAATTTCTAAGCAGCAAAGCATTCAAGAGATGACTTGAGTACTGTTAAAGGTATTCAGTTTTATAAGGGAAGCAGAGCACAAAAGTTTGGAAAACTTGCAGCCTGACTACATGATAGAAAAGAAAAACCCACTTTCTGGGAGAAATTCAAGCTGGCTGCAGAAATTTGCGTAAGTAGCAAACAGTCTAATGTTAATCCCCAAACCTATGGGGAAAATGTCTCCAGGCCATGTCAGAGATCCTCATGGCAGCCCTTCCCATCACAGGCCTGGAGGTCCAGAGGCAAAAAATGGTTCTGTGGGCTGGGGCCAGGGTCCCTGTGCTGTGTGCAGCCTAGGGACTTGGTGCCCTGTGTCCCAGCCACTCCAGCCATGGCTGAAAGGGGCCAATGTACAGCTCAGGCTGTGGCTTCAGAGGGTGAAAACCCCAAGCCTTGGCAGCTTCCACGTGGTGTTGAGCCTGCGAGTGCACAGAAGTCAAGAACTGAGGTTTGGGAACCTCTGCCTAGATTTCAGAAGATGTATGGAAATGCCTGCATGTCCAGGCAAAAGTTTGCTGCAGGGGCAGGGCCCTCATGGAGAGCCTCTGCTAGGGCAGCGTGCAAAGAAAATGTGGGGTCAGAGCCCCCACATGGAGTCCCCACTGGGGCACCACCTAGCGGAGCTGTGAGAAGAGGACCACCATCCTCCAGACCCCAGAATGGCAGATCCACTGACAGCTTGAACCGTGCACCTGGAAATGCCACAGACACTCAACACCAGCCCAGGAAAGCAGCCAGGAGGGGGGCTATACCCTGCAAAGTGGCAGGGGCAGAGCTGCCCAAGACCATGGGAACCCACCTCTTGCATCAGCATGACCTGGATGTGAGACATGGAGTCAAAGGAGATCATTTTGGACCTTTAAAACTTGGCTACTGGATTTTGAATTGGAATGGGCCCTGTAACCCCTTTGTTTTGGCCAATTTCTCCCATTTGGAATGGCTGTATTTACCCAATTCCTGTACCCCCATTGTATCTAGGAAGTAATTAGCTTGCTTTTGATTTTACAGGCTCATAGGCGGAAGGGACTTGCCTTGTCTCAGATGAGACTTTGGACTGTGGCCTTTTGGGTTAATGCTGAAATAAGACTTTCGGGACCATTGGGAAGGCATGATTGGTTTTGAAATGTGAGGACATGAGATTTGGAGGGCCCAGGGGAGGAATGATATGGTTTGGCTGTGTCCCCATCCAAATCTTAACTTGAACTGTATCTCCCAGAATTCCCACGTGTTGTGGGAGGGACTGGAGGGGGGCGGGGGTGATTGAATCATGGGGGCCAGTCTTTCCTGTGCTAATTCTCATGATCGTGATTAAGTCTCATGAAATCTGATGGGTTTATCAGGGGTTTCCACTTTTGCTTCTTCCTTGTTTTATCTTGCTGCCGCCATGAAAGAAGTGCCTTTCACCCCCGCCAGTTTTATAAGATTCTGAGACCTCCCCAGACTGTAAGTCAAATTAAACTTCCTTTTCTTCCCAGTCTCGGGTATGCCTTTATCAACAGCGTGCAAACGGACTAATACAGTGGGGAAGGAAGGGAGTGGAACAGTTCAAAGAGAAGGACATCTAGGAAAACCTGGTTTCTCATGCAAACAAGTTAACAACACTTAACCAAACCATCAATAACAAGTGCCTGGTTGAAAAATAAGCAGTATACTCCTACCCCAAGGTCCGTGTGGAAAAGAGACCCAGTTACCACAAGCAGCCTAGCCTGGGAAGCTCCTTGGTCTTGAGGGCCCAAGACCCTCTTCCCCTTGCAGGTGACACGAAGGTGGCCAGGTGCACAGGCCAGGGACTCCACTACATCCTTCCCCACCAACAGACACCTGGTGACCTGGCCAGGGAACCCCTTTCTGCCCCCTCAGGCAGCCACAGCAGAGTTCACTGGGAGCTCCAGCAGCCTCAGATCAAACAAGCAAACTGAAATATCACAAAAGCATAAAAAATTAAACCACCACTGGAACCATGGCCCATAACATTAGGCTATGGTCCACATGCTAAATCTAAACAAGGGAAACGTCTACTAAAATAAAAAAATCTAAATATGACCTACAGTCTCATGACATAATAGACAAAATGTCCTGGATACAATGAAAATCACCTGTCACACCAAGAACCAGGAAAATCTCAACATGAATGAGGAAAGACAGTCATCTGATGCTAACACCAAGGTGAATCAGATGCTGGAGAAAGCCGACAAGAATTTTAAAGCAGGCATCATAAAAATGCTTTCACCATAAATTATAAACTCTCGTGAAACAAATGGAAAACTTGTCAATCTCAGCAAATGAACAGAAATTACAAAAATGAAGCAAATGGAATTTACAGAACTGAAAAAATGCAATAAAAATCTTAAAAATCATTGGCTGGGCTCCACAATGGAGTGGCGATGACAGAGGATACCATCAGCAAACCTGAGGGAAGAAGACAATTCCCCAACAGAGGGGCAGAGAGAAAAAGCCGGCTGGAACAAAATGCACAGAGCCCGAGGGAACATGGGGACAATGACAAAAGCCCCATCACTCACATCTTGGAGCTCGAAAGGAGGAGGAGGGGCTGCACCAAAAAAAGTATTTAAAGGCTGCAAACCTCCCAACTTTGGTGAACGACAAATACCTGCCAATCAAGAAGCTGAGAACCTGAAGAAGGAAAACTCCAATCCAGGTAAAGACACTTCATAATTAAACTTTTGAAATTTAAAGACAAAGAAAAAAATCTTGAAATCAACCAGAAAGAAACAAGGTATTACTCATGTGGGAACATCAATTCAAACAAAAGCAGATTTCTCATCTGAAAATATGAAGATCAGACGAAAGAGGCACCTGCTAAGAGAAAAGAACCGTTAACTGTGAGTCCTGTCTGGCAAAACTATATTTCAGGTGTGAAGAGGAAATAAAAATATCCTCACATAAAGGAAAACCAGAAAAGCTTTAGACCTACTGCAAAATTCTAGTTAAAGGGAGTTATTCGAACACAAGAAATGACAAAAGAATAAATCTTGGGTCATCAGGGTAGGAAAAGAAACAAGAGAAGCAGAAGTATGGGGGCCCACTGTCCTCCTCATGGACATTTGAGATTTATAAATCACATTTGAGATTGAAGCAAAAACTATATTCAAGGCTACAATATTTAAAAGCTGGGAAGTTAAGGTCCCTAAATGGAAGTGAGATTTCCATACCTCACTCAAAGTGGTGAATATGAGACTGGGATAGGTCACGCATGTATATGCTAATACCTAAAGCAATCACTACGGAAACTATACAAAGAGACATACTCCAAAAGGAGCACCCCAGCCTTTATGATGACCACATAATATATCATACTGAGGCCAAATTGGGTCACTGATGTCCAGGACTTGCTCCTCAAGTCACTTCTTCCCACCCCTAGATAATTTAAGTGTAGTCAGGATCAAGCAGAACAAACCAAAATGAAAACAAGCACACAAAAAAACATAGACAATTGAACAAATGTAGCAGTGGAGCCCTGGGAAAGACAATAAAATTTAAGTCAAGAGACTGTGTAGGTTGGAGCTCAAAGGTCTGCAGTATAGTGGAAAGAATACCAAATTATAATTTTAGGTCCCAGAAATTTGAGTTATAACCCTCCCATTGTCAATTTTAAGAAACAGCACGCAAATCACTTCATAACTTGTGTCTTATTTCCTTTAGCAAAACATTGAACAACGTTATTTGAACATGACTTTCACTTCTAAAACAGTTCAGTTTCTATGTTCCTTGACTTGCTGATTGAGTTAAATTAGGTGAGAGTTAGTTTGCTAATGAGCATGCACATAGACAAGACCTGCCTGAAGGCAGGAGGAAGAGGAACAGCTGCTGACCAGCCTGGGATATGTTCTCTGGAATCAGAAAAGAAATAAGAAAATGGATGGTAATGATTGAAGAGGCAAGACAGAAAGAAAAAAGACCCACGTTTCCATACAATAATTCACTGTCAGAAACAAGAGGCAATTTTTAAGTACTAAAACTGCAACAAAAATAGATCAGTTAAATAATGGAGGCAATAATATTGACACTAATATGGCCACTGACAACAATTTAAATGATAGTATTTAGAATTTTTAATGTCATTTACTCAAATTTTAAAAATGGAAGGCATTTTTATGAAAGATTTATACTTTATAAGAGATTAAAACAAATCCGTCTTTCTTTCTTTCTTTTTTCGTGTTAGGGTCTCTGTCGCCCAGGATGGAGTGCAGCAGCACAATTACTGCAGCCTCAACCTCCCAGGCTCAGGTGATCCTCCCACTTCAGCCTCCGGAGTAGCTGGGATCACAAGCATATGCTTGGATACTTTTTTAAATATTTTGTAGAGACGAGGTTTCCCTATGTTGCCCAGGCTGGTCTCAAACTCCTGGGCTCAAGTGATGCTCCTGCCTCAGTCTCCCAAAGTGTTCAGATTACAGGTGTGAGCCACTGTGTCTGGCCTCTACCTTTCTTTAAAAATTTGGGACATAAAAAATAAATTTAAAAAGTAATCCCATTTACAATAGCCACAAATAAAATTAAATATCTAAGAATTAACCAAAGAAGTAAAAGATCTCTATAATGAATACTTTAAGACACTGATGAAAGAAATTGAAGAGGACATCAAAAAATGAAAACATATTCCACATTCATGGATTGGAAAAATCAATATTGTTATAATGTCCATATCACCCAAAACAATCTACAGATTCTATGCAATCTCTATCAAAATGCCAATGACATTCTCCACAGAAACACAAAATCCTAAAATTTATATGAAATCAGAAAAGACCCAGAATAGCCAAAACTATCCTAAGCAAAAATAACAAAACTGGAGGAATCACATTACCTGACTTCAAATTACACTACAGAGCTACAGTAACCAAAACAGCATGGTATTGGCATAAAAACAGACACACAGACCCAGGGAACAGAATACAGAACCCAGAAACAAATCCACATACCTACGGTGAACCCATTTTCAATAAAGGTTCCAAGAACATTCACTGTGGAAAAGACAGCCTCTTCAATAAATGGTGCTGGGAAAACTAGATATCCACATGCAGAAGAATGAAACTAGACCCCTATTTCTCACCATATACAAAAATCAAATAAAAATGGATTAAAGACTTAAATCTAAGACCTCAAACTATGAAAGTACTACAAGAAAACACTGGGGAAACTCTCTAGGACACTGGTCTGGGCAAAAATTTCTTGCGAAATACCCCACCAGCACAGCCTGCCAAAGCAAAAATGGACAAATGTGATCACATCAAGTTAAAAAGCTTCTGCACAATAAAGAAAACAATCAACAAAGTGAAGCAATAATGCACAGAATGGGAGAAAATATCTGCAAGCTGCCTATCTGACAAGGGATTAATAACCAGAATATATGAGAAGCTCAAACAACTCTTAAGGAAAAAAATCTAATAATCTGATTTTAAAATGGGCAAAAGATTTGAATAGACATTTCTCAAAAGAAGACATAAATGGCAAACAGGCATATGGAAAGGTGCTCAACATCATCGATCATCAATCAAAATGTAAATCAAAACTACAATGAGATATTGCATCATCTCACTCCAGTTAAAATGGCTTATATTCAAAAGGCAAGCAACAAAAATGCCAAAGAAAATGTGGAGAGAAGGAGCCCTTAAACAGTGTTGTTGGGAACATAAGTATAACCACTACAGAGAACAGTTTGGAACTTCCTCAAGAAACTAAAAGTAGAGCTACTATATAATCCAGCAATCCCACTGCTGGGTATATACACAAAATAAAGGTAATCCATACATCAAAAAGATATCTGTGCTCCCATGTTTGTTGCAACACTGTTCACAATAGCCAGGATTTGGAAGCAACCTAAGTGTCCATCAACAGATGACAAATGAATAAAGAAAATGCAGTAGATATATACAATGGAGTACTATACAGCCATAAAACAGAATGAAATCCTGTTATCTGCAATAACATGGATAGAACTGGAGGTCATTATGTTAAGTGAAATAAGCCAGACACAGAAATAAATGAGAACATCACATGTTCTCATTTATTTGTGGGATCTAAAAATTAAAACAATTGAACTCATGGAGACAGTTGACAGAATGATGGTTACCTGGGGCTGAGAAGGGTAATGGCAGGGTGGGGAGAGAAAGAGATAGTTAATGTGTATAAAAAAATTGGAAAGAATAAATAAGACCTACCATTTGGTAGTGCAACAGGGTAACTATAGTACATAATAATTTAATTGTACATTTTAAAATAAGAGTATAATTGGATTGTTAGTAACACAAAGGATAAATGCTTGAGGGGATGCATGCTTCACTCTCCATGATTGCATGCCTGTATCTAAACATCTCAGGTATGCCATAAATACATACACCTACTATGTACTCACAAAAATTAAAATAAAAAATGGGACTACACGTACACTATATCTAAGACCCAAAATGAAGAGGTTCTTTCTACTGCTAAGGCAATCATATAGATACACACGAAAATGCAGATCTCTGTGCCATACAAGAAGCCATTCTAGTTTTTCACATAGGCTCTGAATTTTAGCAGACATCTAAAGGGAGGGTAGGGAGCAGACACCCACCCCAGGTGCTTCTGATATCAACTGTCTGTTCTGTGCAACACTTTGAGAAATCTTGGTTACAAAAATGAATCCTATGGATCAAAAAGCAAGAAAATATTAACATTCAGCATTTGTTTGTAGAATGCAAATGAAATTAAATGTATGTAATAAAAGTCAACAATGAAATATTTAAAACCAGGAAATGAAAAAGAAAAAAGACAACAATTTAAAAGTTTGGTTATAATATTGGTTCAGAAGACCCAAAAAAAAAAAAAAAAAAAACCCGGATGATAGGTTGTTGAATCAAGCATTTCAGATGATTCATTTGTAGTACTTTCTTACTTGACAAAGCAAGATGGATAAATTTTGATTGTATTATACATACAAGAAATTCCAAGGTTACAAACAAAAAAAGTGCTTTTGAAACTATCATCAGATTTTTCTTCATTCATTTGCTTAGTGATTTTATTGCCAACCACCCCAAATCCTGAGAGGGCATAAAGCTGATGTTTGTAAGATAAACTCAAAGATCAGGTGGCAAGAGATGCATGTGCATATGGGTACAGTGTGCATTGCTACCTACCCCTATAACATGATCCCTCACAAGGACTGTGACTTCAGTGCTTAGTACATGGCCAGACACTAGAATACCACATCCCATCCATTTGGGGTCCAGGGATCCATGTACACGACAGTGGGAGCTACATATGAAAGTCTGTTATATAACTGCTCTGCCTCCTAGTCTTACACTTAACGCCTGTCCAAGTAGGCTTCACGTGATAGGCGCGGTCAATAGAGGTTTCAGGCACTGACAAGTTTGACCATGGCTGGAAAAGACATTACTGTTCCCCAAGAGGGCGCCACAAATATTTCTATTCACTCAAGGTCAAGAGGCAGCTGTAATGAGGCCTGTTAATAGCAGCTGCTTCTCTTTCTGAAGAGCAATTCAAACTCAACTAAGAAATAGACACTTTGCTAATATGTTTACAGGCATAGAATTTTCCACGAAAAGATGGGATAATTGTTGCAACACTTTTTTCATATATTAAATTCTCTAGTTAAAAATCTGCAAAGTATAACAAAATGGAATTATTCTAAAGCCATTAAAGTATAAGCCATCTGAAATTTTAAAAAGTAACATAGATATTGTTTTATAATAGTGTTGTTTAAAAAGCTGAATGTAAAAACAATAAAATGTGGAATAATTTGCTTTCAATGAACATTTCCTCTTCTTAACAAATTCTAAGATTGCTGCATAAATGAGGAGATTTTGCTATAAAATTTGGGTCCACTACAATGCAGAAAACTGAGAGTTCTTTATAAATTGTTTTGTAACATGTAAAACATGGATTAAAAAAAAATCGAGTAGTTCTTAACAATGTATCAGGGTTTGACCAAGAAAGGTAACAAGGGCGTAAGGATTACTAACATGATGCTCTGAAAATATTACCACCCGATAACCTGCAGGTCCAGTGAGCTCTACCAAATGGGTACAGTTGTAAGGAGACAATTAAATAAGTAATCACTTCCAAAGTTATTAATGAATTATTACACAGGACCATACTTCACTGGCTTTCACTGTTACTCATATTACAAATAATGTGAAAAGTCAGATATGGAGTGAACTGGATATTTAAAGGCAATGCATAACCCAATGGTTTGTTGCAGTACTTGGGAATGTTCCATTCAGGACAAAAAAAAAAAAAAAAAGGAATGAAGGTTAGTCAATGGAAATGAGAGAAAAATTAGAGCTAAAGAAAGTGCGATTGGATTTTACAAAGAAACCGGGGAGAACTGTGGAGCTCCAATGATTCTATGTGGCTGCTGGAAGAAGGGGCTGATGTGGGATGAAGACCATGCATTAACTGTCAGAGCAGGATAATCTCTTTGTATACAAGAATGATAGGCATCTATTGTTCAGGTGAATAAGATTTCCAGCCAGGAACATAGACACTGCCAGCATTCATTCATTCATTTGTTAATTCTTTCATCAAAACCCTCAGCCGAGTCTCAGGCCTTCAAAGAGTTTACAGTAGGAGAGCTGGACAGCCAACCAGGTGATTTCAACAGAGCACGTAAGTGCTGAAGGGAGGTAGGTAGGGCACTGTGTCCACTCAGAAGGGTTTCAGAATTGACTCTTGGAATCAGAGCGGCTCAGCTTCCCAGCACCAGGAGAGGGAAGAGGGTGCTGTATGTGTGCAAAGGCCAAGGCCTTAGGAGACGAGACATGGAGGACTGGGCATGGCATATTTGGCGTATACCCGTAGTTCAAGAGGGCTGAGGCGCAGGATGTGGGAAGGAATGAAGAGGAATGAGCCCAAGAGTGGCGGGGGTCAGTTCACAAAGGGCCTAGGCCCATCCATTCCCACAGAGACACCTAGGAAATGTCTATTGTGGGCCAGATCCTGCTCTAGCCCCTGGGTCCTCTGTGCTGGAGAAACAGGGGCCCACGCCATGTCAGTATGCATCTGACAGATGTTTAAGATGAGAGAGTATGCCAAATGACATTATATCATGCTGAATGTTTTGGGCTGTTGTGAAGATACTTACAGTTTGGGGTATTTGAGGAAATCATTGTGTCCCTGAGTAAATACAGTAAAACCACCAAAGGGAATTTTTCATACATTAGGAAACACTCAAAAGAAAGTTTCTGTGTTGCTTCCATTTCAATGACATGAAAATGTCCCTGATGTATAGGATACAGATAGTGATGAGCAAACACACCACTGACACCATGTCAAAAGCAAGGAATAAAGAAAATAAAAAACAAGCATCATTACTAAAGTCTTTATTAAATGAATAATGAAAACAAAGGAAATGGCTAAAGGAAATGGCCTTCTAAACTTCCATGAAAACTAGTTTTGATTAAATACATAACCTAATGAACGTATTTTTCTGTGTTACCCTTCACATGGCCAAAGTCAACTGCTGCTGTTCCCAAAACGTCACAGAAGGAGAGATTCATAGTGCAAGTTAGGGTCTGATCCGAAGCACTACAGACTTGGGAAGAGAATGTAGGGAGTGGGTGGGTGGGTAATTCACATGTTCAAGATTGGTGAACACATTTCTCAACCCAGCTAAAAACCACAGAAACCTCATTCTACTGCAATTATCTGGGCACTTTGCAAACTTTTTTTTTTTTTTTTAATTGAGACAGTCTCTGTCGCCAGGCTGGAATGCAATGGCTTGATTTTGGCTCACTGCAGCTTCCGTCTCCTGGGCTCAAATGATCCTTCCACCTCAGCCTCCCGAGTAGCTGGGACTATTGGCACGCGTCACCACACCCAGCTAATTTTTTGTATTTTTTGTAGAGATGGGGTTTCATCATGTTGCCCAGGCTGGTCTCAAACTCCTGGGCTCAAGTGATCCCCCGGCCTTGGCCTCCCAAAGTGCTGAAATTACAGGTGTGAGCCACTGCGTCTGGCTGCTTTATAAACTTGTGTTGTGGCATATACCACTTCTGTCTTACAGCACAACAGTTAGATGGCTGGGGCCCTACATGATCTGCTAGGTCACCATGATCTGCTAGGTCACCGTGATCTTGGACAACTGATCTCAAATCTCAATGACTTTGTTTCTTCATATGTGATATGGAGATAGAGGCAGTATCTTTAACAAAGACTTACTGTGAGAATTAAAGGAGTATAACAAATGTAAAGTTAAAAAGTTAATGAATGGAAAGCATTTAAAAGACTCCCATCTACAAAAAGAGGCTATAAACTAGAGAAGATGTAAAATGGGAAAGCAGCACCTTCTCCTATCCCTCCACCCAGTCCTCGCTCAGGACCTTCTCCTATCCCTCCACCCAGTCCTCACTCAGGACCTTCTCCTATCCCTCCACCCAGTCCTCACTCAGGACCTTCTCCTATCCCTCCACCCAGTCCTCACTCAGGACTTTCTCCTATCCCTCCACCCAGTCCTCACTCAGGACCTTCTCCTATCCCTTCACCCAGTCCACACTCAGGACCTTCTCCTATCCCTCCACCCAGCACTGACTCAGGACTTTCTCCTATCCCTCCACCCAGCACTGACTCAGGACCTTCTCCTATCCCTCCACCAAGCACTCACTCAGGACCTTCTCCTATCCCTCCATGCAGTCCTCACTCAGGACCTTCTCCTATCCCTCCACCCAGTCCACACTCAGGACCTTCTCCTATCCCTCCACCCAGCACTGACTCAGGACCTTCTCCTATCCCTCCACCCAGCACTGACTCAGGACCTTCTCCTATCCCTCCACCCAGCACTGACTCAAGACCTTCTCCTATCCCTCCACCCAGTCCACACTCAGGACCTTCTCCTATCCCTCCACCAAGCACTGACTCAGGACCTTCTCCTATCCCTCCACCAAGCACTGACTCAGGACCTTCTCCTATGCCTCCACCAAGCACTGACTCAGGACCTTCTCCTATCCCTCCACCAAGCACTCAGTCGGGACCTTCTCCTATCCCTCCACCCAGTCCTCACTCAGGACCTTCTCCTATCCCTCCACCAAGCACTCACTCAGGACCTTCTCCTATCCCTCCACCAAGCACTCACTCAGGACCTTCTCCTATCCCTCCACCAAGCACTCACTCAGGACCTTCTCCTATCCCTCCACCAAGCACTCACTCAGGACCTTCTCCTATCCCTCCACCCAGTCCACACTCAGGACCTTCTCCTATCCCTCCACCCAGTCCTCTACATTTGTCATCTCATTTCACTTCACAATAATCCTAAAAGTGCCAAAAAGAGGCACTTTTACCTAAATGAACACGGTACTTGCGTTAGGATTTCAAACTTCAGAGAAAACCACTGATCTTCAATTATACAAAATCAGAGAATATAAAGCCACTAGAAAATGGGGTGAAAGCACTTGTGATATTAGTAACTGGTTAAATGAGTTATACAAATGCACACTAAGCATAGGCCCTGAAGTTTGCATAAAGAAGCCACACTGTTGGATGCAACTCCCATAGAAATGTCTACTCATTTCAACAACATAGGATGACTATTTAGGGTCATTATGCCATCTTCAATGTCACCATGTCTGTGATTTTAATCATTTCTCACTTTTGGAGAAGGCTCAAATCCTAAAAATTTCAACCTTTATACGTTTCACTTCATGTATCAAATGACATAATTTATCAGATTTGTGCTTAAATCCAGGAATTACAAACTGTGCTGAAATCAAGCTAATTAAAGTAGAAGTGTGCTGGGAAGATCTTGCCTGGAAGGATAACAAAGGCATTCCCAAGTTCCCAAGTGTATTCCGTTTAGAGATGTCAAAATTGGCAAGTTTTCTCTAAGTGGGCATAGAAAAAAATTCAAGATACATAGAAACACAACCTCAACAGAACAAAAGGATGCTACAAAGAATAAACTCAGAAAGACAGACACATACAAGTTCAATGGCATGATGGTTGCATGCAAGTTAAAAAGGGGAAATTGTCCCAGAAGCAGAAGGGTGGATGTTAGAATCAGGAGGACTAAAAGGAGACTTAGGAGCCAGAGTCCAAATTCAAACCACTACTTCCCAGTAGAAAGGAAGTTTTTATCCTGCTGCCTCTTAAACAACGATTGTCATGACAATACTGATGATGATGGTCTAATTTAAATTCAAAATTTAGCACCTACATTTGTGAAGTATTGCGATCTTGAACAGTTCTTTTGAAATGGAAAATCTATCTGGAGGACAAGGTAAGAAACACAAATATTATCCTATAGTATTAAACACTGTGTCTTAAGACTCTCTTTGAGGTTACACAGAAAAGATGAAAGACTAGACTTTATGAAAAGTAGGTTATATACAAACATTCTCAAGTCCTGGTCTCAGAAAATGTTCAGTAAGTAAAATGTAATGAAGAACAAAATAAACTTGGCATTGTGGAAGAAGAAAAGTTATTAAAGGCATCATCCAAGTGTCCAGTAACTTCCGCCTCTCCATTCAAATCCTATCCACCTGTCAACCCTGCAATTATTGAAAGAGTTTTTGTGTGCGCATGGGTGTCCCCTTCCTCTTAGAAGTCACATGCCCAGTGACTTCCTCACTGAAAATGATGAGGAACCAAGACCTCTGCTAAAATCTTTGATTTCAGACCCTACTGTCACATGCCAAAATTAGTGCAGAACACTTTTTGCTAGCTATGATTCTATTCACTCAGTCCCTTTATGCCAATGTTTATATGACACCATCAGTGAGGGCTTAGACAGGCAAAGCTTGCTCATGTCTGAGAGCCCCGGCTTACTCACCCTCTGCCTGCATAGCTTGTGTCTCAGGTGTATGCATGGCGGACTCCTCGTCAAACCCAATGCAGCTCAGGTGTGTATATGACCAGCTCCTCGTCATGGCCAATGCAGCTCAGGTGTGTGCACGGCGGGCTCCTCATCAAACCCAATGCAGCTCAGGTGTGTATATGACGGGGCTCCTCCTCATGGCCAATGCAGCTCAGGTGCTCCCTCCTCGACAGGCCCACTGTGAGGAGGCAACTCAAAATAATCTCCCTGCAACCCTGAGACCCAAATCCTGCTTTCTCACCTTTAGAACACTTACTTAACCTTTATCTTAAACAACCTTCTAATTCATTTATTTGTGTTTTCTGACATCCCTAACCCACACTCAGTAAATGATGACAACGACGACAGTGTTCTCTTTTGCTGATCTTTTCCACTGTTTTATCGCAGGCACTTACATCAGCCTCATCTATAATAAGGACCTTAATACATAATGAAAGAATGAAGGAATGAATACTCAAAGACGTCCAGAGTCTCGTAGGTGAAGACGAACATTTTTAGACCACTTCACAGTGTAAGTGAGACGTGGGTTATGGTTCTCCAAACAAGGGAGAGCTCACAAATACCTGAGCAGTTCCTAGAAGGCTTCAAAAAACAGGCAATGGCTTCAGCTCATCTTAAAACATGTGTCCCTCTGCCAGGTAACAAGGAAGCAGAGGTGGGAAAGGCATTCTAAACTCTTCATCAAAAACCACAAATCATCACTTTCCCCTAGAAGTACTCTTACCCTGGAGGGCTGCCGCTTGTTGAGTACACAGCATATGCCAGAGGTGGAGCTTTACAAACATGACCTCATTACATCTTGAAGATCTGTACCATAACACATTCTATGGAAATAAAACAGGCTCAGAGAGTTTTAAAATCCCCGCCCAGTCTGTAAAGAGCTTCCCATTACGGCACTGTCTACCTTCCTTCCTCTCATAATAGAACTCACCTTGAAATTATTCAGTGAATAAAATAGCAACTGTCAATGCTGACATCCAGGGAATTCACTAATTAGATACTTACTACATAAATATCTTTATGTTTACACAAACTGACATTTTCAAGTTCCTAATCTCTATTAAGAATAACAGATTGTAACCCTCTCCTGTTTATTCCTTAGAACAATTTCAAAATTCAATCCCTCATCTAGAATGCTCCACTAGGAAGACAACAGAGAGGAGAGAGTGAATTATTCCAAAAAACCCCGTAAGTTAACGTAATTAAAAAATGCAACACCTCCCAAATAAGCTGGCCGCGAGTGAAGCATCTGCCTATGGAAAGGGCGACGGGACTGACTCACGGTTGGCTGAGGGGCGTGGGCTGACTGTGCCGGTTGCCCCCATGGTAGAACTGACAATTGTAGGATAGGGAAAGCGAAGAACGACAACCTCACGGGGCATGAGAAAAGGCAACCTTCAGCTGCACTCAGGGTAGGAGGCATCCTGGAGTCCCACGTCCACAGTCCTAGGCCACTGGGTGGGGCCTAAAGCTGCAGGTTATGGCCCAGGCTATCAGAGTCAGGACTTTCTCTTAAGTTCAACTCACTTACTCTCTTCTGGTTTTAAACTCAGAAAGCAACATTCTGATTATAACTTGGCTTCACAAGTAGCTTTTCTACAAGAAAATATGTTGACTGCTGACATGAGTATCCCAGTCTGCTTGACAATATTTCTCAATTTAAAGGAAAAACACTATGATCTATGTAATTATCTCACAAAATTTAGTGATTACGACTTTGTCAGATTCTCCCTAGCTATTGATGAAGTCATGTTTCAAGAACTGCAACCTGAAGACCAATGCTGAGAATGCAGATGAGATCACACCGTCCAGCCATGAAAGCCCTGGACAAGACACTACATCCACCCCAGCAGCCCATCCTTCTCCCAGGCATATTCCTTCCTTCCTTCCAGTCACGGCTCAACACGCCTCTCCTCCATGAAACCAACCCTGACTAAATTCACCACTGTCCCTTCATCACATCACGACACCCACTGATACAAACCTTCATCTCAACATCAGCAGCAATGTAATGCTTGCTGCACATATTATGTCAGGACACAGTGTGTGTACACTAGAATGGAAAAATGACAAAGGAGCTCATGACATTGGAGAAAGACAACTGTAGTCTTATATTTTGGTTTAAAAACAAAATGAGTACAGTTTGGGGAAGAAGGATGAAGAGATTTTAGCTTATGAAGTTTTATATAAACCAATAAAACAGAATGGCTGCCAAAAACCTTATTATCCCCTTGGAATAGAGGACGTCAAGAGCAGGGTCTCTGTTGTGGGCACACGTGGGCCACACCGAGGCCAGCAAGGACAGGCTGGTGGATGTCAGGAGGAATGCAAGCAGGACGGAGAGCTGGATGTGATGAGGAAGTGGGGATGTGACACAGACAGGAGGATACTAAAAAGTTATTCAATTTGATAAACAATGAACGTCTATAACTGGATTAAGCTGGAGGCTGGGGATTCATTTTTGACCTGAAGTTTAGGAAAGAAGCAACTTTTCAAGATGAAGTAAAAGGGGTGGATACTTTAAAATAGGAATTTGACTTCTAATGAGGAACTTCAGAAAAAAGAACCAGAAACAAGGCAAGTTACAAGGAAGAATATTTTGGCTCAACCTATAGATGAACTTCCTTAAGTTAGAGCTTTCTGAAGTAGGAATCATGTAATGTACAAAAAAGTATGGTCTTGCCACTGATGGTCTCCTGTGGACTCTGCCAGCACAGACAGACAGGAACACGTGCACCGTGTGTGCAGGGAGAGAGGATGGCTGGCCGAGCCTGATGAAGTCCTTTCCCTGACCTCACAAACATCGGAAGATGTGTCGAGAATGTGCAGATCCAGAAATCTGCTGCTGGTCAGGTCCTGAGACTTGATGTGACTCGGGTACCCACTTAGTTATCACCACCTTGGAAAACAGGGTTACTTGGGGTATTTGGAACATTATTTCATTGAAATTTTTGCCAACAGGACTTAACCTTTTATTTCTCCTTACCCAGTACATCACAATGTAGCTCTTATGAAGAATAATACTTGCTTTGGAGTAAAGACATACTGATTGTGCCAAAGTTAGAAAACTGATTAACCTACAACCAAGGCTAGCCCAGCGCCAGCTCCATATATCAGCTATTTTCCTGATTCATCTCCCTGTTGGCTACTGGCTCATCCTTAAATGCTGATTCTGGGGTTTGCAACTTTTCCTTTGATTTCAGCTATGTCCTCTACCAAATCTAGGTTGAACTCTCTCAATTCCCAGGTCCCTTCTCTACTGGCACCAAATTTACCCCATGCCCCAGAATTAAACTACTCTCTCCAAATACATCAGATTCCTGACCCAGTGGCTCCCCGAGATGTGCCTGTGTAAACACTCTCCTTCAGTTTCTCTCCAGTTCCTCTGGACTTGCGGTCCCCACAACTTCTGCAGCTCAGCCCATCCCTAAACGACCCTAAACGGCCCCTCAGCACTACCCTCAGGGTTCCAAACTCCTAACTGGATTCACTCACTCCTTCCTCTCCCCTCAAACACTGACTTCATGAGATCCACACTTAGGTCCTTATCTCTGGACTATCACTCCTCCAGCATCACTATATCAATAGCATCTGTAGACTGCACGACTGGCTTGTAACATATAACAACACCTTTAGGATTAAACTGAATTACAATGCTTGGGGCTCCATTTAGAGTGGATATATCCAGTGACACCTGTCCTTATTTTCCCTACTGATAATGTCATTTATTTCCTTCGTCAAGTACTGGACTAGAATGGTCACTCGAAAGGATGGCAATGATGGTGTTGATGAAGTTCACTGGTGGCTGGAATGGGCTAAGGTTAGACATTGGATTGGACAATAGTTTAGGAATACCCCTTCCCCTGTGTGTTGCGGTTTCATACACTCATAATCTAAAATGTAAATATAAAAATATGTGGGTTATATAAAAGCAGTGACATCTAATCCAATATAACTTCACTGCTTAGTAACAAATGATAAAATTATGTTATATAATACTTGAAAAAAAATTATGACTAGTTTCATTAACTAAAACATTAATAATTATTGCATGATTATAATGCCAGTCTTTCTTAAAGGACTGATTTCCTAATAAACAACAATGAAAACTTTCATATTATTTTCTCCTTTGCCCAACATTTTTTATTTTATATCCTAAGTGGAAGGAGAGAAGCTTAATATAATATCTGTATTGACATAATCATATAGCTATTTAATCATAGTCATTTATGATATAGATTAAAGATATATATTAACAATAGTATACAAAGAGATCACAGTAACACAAGTATCTATTTTGAAAATAATTACTCAGAAGTAACATTTTGTCTGTTTCTCCCAAGTAACTGTTTCTGGGTAAGTTGGTTTTTGAGATTATCTTAAGTGAGCCAAATGATCAAAAAATGCTTTTCTAATTGGCATTAATATTGAAACTGGCCTCTTTCCCTTTAGAAAGCATTAAATTTTGTTATAAAATATTGAACATATTAATATTGGAAAAGTCAATAGAAATTAAGTCAATTGAGGTACCACAATGACTAAAATATGTGTAAAATACATTTATGTGGGTATGTAAAAGTGTGTGTCCACGTGCACGCACATGCACACACACAAAACATACACTATCCCTTTTTCTCCTTACTTTGAGCCTATCTTTTGTTTTTTCTCGCCTCCCATTAGGGTCTCAACTTTTCTCCCAGAATAAAGCAGCCCAGCCACAGTTCCCTAATGGACCAGATTCCTGCTGGTGTGGTGAAGCCTATCAAAAACAAATTTCCCGTCTACACAATGACATCGGAGTAAGGGGCTGTCTGCAGCCAGCTGGTAAAAGGTAGTGGTATACGCTGTGGTCATATTGTCAGGAGAAGTGAAACAAATCCTCTATATTTCTATATGCAACTATATTTACATATTTTCAATTAAGTACAATTTAGGACATCTAACAAGAGTTGAAAAGCTCCTCTCTAAACGAAGCCTAGCGTTACGGAGTGTGGGGCAGGACACAGAGGCAGGGAGCTCCTCCTCAAGGAAGCTGCATGTCTATCAGGAATGAAATGTAATACAAGGGAAATTAGCAATCTGGAAGTTTAAAAAAATCCAAGTTAAGGCGACTAAGGATGCCTGCAGAGAAAAGATGGCCATGATACAACGTAAGCAGACATACACGGCAGATGTACAAAGCCACCAAATTAAAGTAGAAAAAAACAGATAACAAAATCTACACATTAAGGCGTTGGTTGCTGCTCCTGCAGCACTGATGGTCTTTATCCACCACAGAAGGCGGCATGCCAAGCTGACGAGAGCACAGGCTGAGGAGTCAGATAGCCTGGACGGACCCCAGCTCTCAAGCAATGTCCCCTTGACAAGGACATCCTGAATCCAACCATTTTCATCACCTCCACTACCCTCATTCAAGTGATCACTCTCTCTTGCCAAGACGTCTCATTTCCACGCAGTCCTTTCTCCACCTAGAAGCCAGAGTGACTTTTTGCAAAAAACAAATCAACGTAGGCTCCTCTCTTGCTCACCGTCATTCTATGGCTTTCCGTCAGAGTCAGAAGAAACATCTCTACATGCCCTGTGTGGTCTACCTTACTTCTCTCTTCACTCCAAGCCCAAATGACCATATTCCATTCCACTCCCACTGCTCCATCACCAACGGCTCTGCCAAGTCCATGTTGGCCTCGTGTTCCGTCAACCATTCCAGGCAGTGCTCTTCCCAACACATTTTCACGGCCCTGGCCTTCCCTTCATTCAGATATCTGCCATTTCCTCACAACTTCTGGGAGAAATGGGATGTGTTCATTATTTTAATTATGGCCATGGTTTCAAGGGTTTATACTTCTGTCAAAACACATCACACTGTACACTTTAAATATGTGCAATTTATTTTATGTTAATTATGCCTCAATAAAACTGTTTTTTAAAAGTCTTATTCTTAAGAGAGATTTTCCCTAACCTTGTATGCACAATCGTCCAGCCCCTTCCTGCTCCCATTCTCTCTGGTTGTCTTCCTCTTTCTGCCTCTTTTCCCAACATGGCATTACCATGCACAGTAGTTAGTTTATTTACTTATCATCTATCTTTCCCTGAGGGTTAGCCTCTGTCTCCAGGATCTAGAACAGTGGCTGCTACCCAGAAAGCGCTCGACAAGTATTTGGCAGTAAACAGGTGGGTAACTTGGGCCAGTTCCTAAACTCCCTGTGCCCAAGTGCTTCTCCATGAGCATGACAGCGCAGCACCAGGGGCTGTGGTTGGGATTAAAGGGATAATATCAGGGATGGCATAGAGCACAGTGCCCAGCACAGGCCAATTGCAAGATACTCATTAGCTACCAAAGGTTCATAGAGAGTATCATAAATTTGAGGAAATTCACTGCTAAGTTATCTAGTCCTTTTATTTTTAATGAGTTAGTCACTGCTTTGCAATAATCAAGTATTTTCTTCTCCTTGCCTCCCAAGCTCCTGATCAATAACTGTTGATGCCTCATTAGTAATAAGGGGCAGGGGTCTTACTTTTGAATGACAGAAGCTGAGAAAACTGCTTGCAACACCTTTGCAGTTATTCTAGCAATACTTCATAGAGCTGTGCCAGGGATCACTACTTTGTATGTATTTTCTAATTTCTAACTTAGTATGTTTTCATCTGCTCTATGAAGTACGATCAGAAGTTTCCTAGAATTACTGTTTTTTTTTTTGTCAGATCCTGTTCTGTATGATGGTTTTATTCTCCAATTAACTTTGGTGTATCTGTTAAATATTCCAAAAATCATAATCTTAGAAATTATCTTATTTTACTTTTCATTTAGAAAGTAAGTTATTTCTAAAAATTAATACCCATAAAAAACACACAGACTATGAAAATGAATCAAAGTTAATGATTTAGATTAAAACCTACATACAAAGAGGGAATAAATCTGCAAATATGAAGCTCAACAACAGAGGAAATAAAATAATTTTGAAATAAAAATGCCATGTTTAAGGTTATTTTCTGGTAGTTAAGCAATCTAGGGATGCTATGATGATGATCAAGGAAGCAGCAGCAAAGCAGTGTGTCAAAGGCATGCAATCAATGAGAAGACGAGGCAGTGAGAGGCAGAAGGGTCAACATGAACGTACTGAGAACTCACGCTCAGTGTTCTGCAGTTTGCCAATTTTCTACAAGATCTCTGTGCAAAACAGTTTAGGCAAATCAACAGAGGGACAATGTTGACTTAATGAGTCAAGAAACCAAGAACAGGGAGGAGAGAAAGTGAAGGGCTTGGCCCCACACCAAGGGCAAGCCTTTGTTACTCCTGCCTTCCCTTCTCATTGCCTTGTGGGGATTTCCACTGTTTACAAGTAATTGGTGCAGTGAACATGTTCTGCTTACGTCTATTTAAAATGTCTGTATCATAGAGAAAAAAGAAAAGTTCAGTACATTTGAACATTTGGAGGCACTGGGGGTATCACAGTAGTAGTGGTCATAATAGAGAAGTTATTTAGACTCTTGTGTGCTGCCCTGCTACCACATGAAGGGAACTAAGACTATTATTCTTCATTGTAATATTTAATATGTGCCCATTCCAGAATCAACAAAAGGAAAAAAAAAGTTGCATCTGAAAATATTAAAATCCAAATTTTGGCAGCAAATTTTCAGTTGAGACAATCAATTCGGTCCCAGTAAAGGCAGTAGCAAAAGGTCAAAACAAAATCATTAAAGAAGTTTCTAAAGCTTCTAGAAGCCTCATTAAAAACCATATCCTGTTAAAAGTATGAAAACCCTGGAGAGTCAGGTGAGAGAGCATGAAGCATGTGTGTTGGGAGTATTCCCATTAGCAAGAAAATGGGAGACCTCCCTGGGTTTAGAGAGAACTTAATTCCAAAGCTTCTTAACGCGCAGCAAAACAGACAGGCAGGAAATGCCCTACAGAAGCTTTCATTTACAGAAGTGGCAATGTTATCGTAATGATTTTGTTGAAGATTAAAGCAAACAAGATTTTTAGGTATCTGTAACGGTAGAACAATTGTATCAGTGACCCAAACTTTCTCCTTCCTTGGATAAGAGGAAATCAGCATCAAAACAACACTTTCTTTCTACCTCAGCCCTGCTTGTAAGTTTTCATACCTTGATAAATGAGACTTCTAAATAAGGTCTATGCTACTGTTCAAGAGGGCATTGACCTCCATGTGAGCAGCAGAAATAATGAAAACAAGAGCCACAATTCATTGAGGACCTACTAAGACTGCATTGATTTTTCCATCTTGTGAATTACCTAATTGCTTACTATTTTAAAATATGTAAGCATTAAGTGTGGTAGGTAGGAATCAAGGAAGTTGCAGTTAAATCATTTTCTTGCAGCCACATATTGAAGCGTTTGGATCGGCAGCAGGCAGCTTTGGAAGACGTGAGCTGGACATTTCCAAGATCATTGTCAGTCAGCCCTTCTTGGGCACCACTGGCTTCTGAAGAGGACTCTGGAGCACTGTCCTCCTGCCTGCTGTATGCAGCTGGCATTCAGTGGATGTCTTATGGCCATTCAGTGCTTCCACCACCCATTTCCCATTTGGCCTCAAACACTCTTCTACTGCTGCTGGGAAGGCAATATTAGCCAGGATGGTCATCTGGAGCCATCAGCTTAACCATAGCCAGTGGGGGGTTAAAAAGAATCTATCAGTATTGTTTTTTCTTGAACATTTTAATTCTCTGAATTGAATCCAAGAGGGACTAGGTCATATCAAACAGGCTGTGGGTTTCAGCTGTGGTCTGAGAGTGCCTGCCCTTGTGTTGACCTTCCTATTTCAGAGAGGTCTGGAGACTGTGGCACCTCGGCAGAGTCATGCCATCTATTCAGCAGCAGGGAATACCACTGCTTATCCACAGAAGCACCCCCAATCTCCTGTAAAAAATAACCTTTAAGGATTCAGGCTTTGTTCTTTACTTGTCTATATCAGGTCTTCTTAACCTGGGAATTCAGAAACCCTCCCTCTAATTCCCTCAAAAGTGTGGGCCACCTTTCAGAAAAGTACTGATATTTTACTAACAGGGATTTTGAGGAAAGTATTGATATTTCAGTAACAGGGATTTTGCTTTCCTCATAATCTCAAAGACGTGAACAAATGAAAACCATGAAAGAGATTACCAGGAGATTAGGGTTGTGATCTAGCATTATTTGTAATTTTACAGAATTATCGTGTATGACAGCAGGAAGAGCCAGCAAGCTCATCTATTAATATAAAGTTGTTTCTTTCATTTCGTATTCAAGGAAACTTAAGTACAGTGAGGTTAAGTGATTCCCCTGAATCCTGACCATGAGCAAAATGCCTGGGTTCCAGACCCACTAGCTCATAGTTCGAAGGGCTTTTCATTTGCTAATATGCCTCTACTTTTTACAAATTTCCAACCATTCATTATAAATATTTATTTCAAATGTGTGTTTGTCAGAAAGAAATGTACCTACTGAAAATATCATAAATAGTTTCTTCTGTACTATCTCAAATTTTCTTGCCCTATTAGCCACACAATTCCATTTCTAGTTTTCTTCGCGTTCTTCTCTGTTTGTTTTTGTAAGTGGACACCATGGCTGGCTGTAGACTTCCTTGATTTTTCCACAGTTTGCTTCCCAAGCTTTAGATTGTCCTTTCTTTTTACACACTAGTGTGCTGTCTAATTTGCATACTGAAATGAAACCTTTATATAAAACACCTTAAAAGTTCTAGTATTTCTTCTTTATTTCTGACTTTTATTTTTGGAATACATTAACTCTAATTTGAAATCTTATTTTAAGGCCAGACATTCTAACTGTTGTTTTCTCTAATTTCTAATTAGTTATCTGTATTTTTACATAGCATTCTTACACAAGCTTATTTTAAACTCCCAGCATATTTTCTTAAATATCTGTCCTCTTTCTCCTAAAAGGTAAACTTGATCTTTCCTTAGGATTGATGTCATATGGATGTGATGAGAGAGAATTATTTTTTTAAGAAATATAATTTTCAATACAGATAAAAATATTTCAGAATCACATGTAAAAATGATAAATTAACTTGGTAGTGTCGGGGATTCAACATTTACTGCATTAGAATTCAGAACTAGACTCATGATTTCCATAGAATCGAAACTGCAAAGCTGATGTCTATGGATACTTATTGTCTTTTACACAGAGCTTTGTGTAAGAAATGAGGGAAAAAAGTCAGCTAAAAACTAGCAATCTGGAACATGTTGTTTTACAAATAGACGGAGCAGTCTCAGTAATGAAGACTAAGCTCAGGTGAATGTCAGTGGACAACTTGTATTAACGAGCAGCAGGTTACAATAAATAACAGTAAGATATGATACTCCCATGGCACATAAAGTGAAAAAAGCCGCTACTGAGCAAAAGCTCCCATTAAAGACAATCGCTGTACAAAGGATGATGAAAAGAATTTGCTCTTCTGAGTAGTTAAAGCAATATAAGCTAACAGACGCAGCAAGCAGAACAGAATAGTAGCCTCTATAAGAGACAAAGATACCTTCTTTCAAATGGTGATCAGCAGCTCCTACTTTCCACAGGCTCCTGCCCAATGAAGGCCCGGAGACAAGTATCCTGGGTTCTGCTGTTGTGTTTGATGCTTAATTATTTTACCTCTGAAGTCATTTTCTCTTTGACCCTTGGTTTTGAAGGTGTGAATTTACAGCACTTTTCTGTGTTCTTGTGTAAAAGACAATAAAAAGGAGAGGGAGCTGAGAGGTCATAAGAAATGGAGAAAAGAAATGAGAGGAAGTAAGTAGAAACAAAAGGCGCAGGGAGAAAGCCCACTGTTCTTTGAAAGACAGAGGCTTAGCGCTTCACTTTCATTGAAGGAAAATGGTGGGCTACACGCACAGGTCCTGCCTACCTGTTTGTCTGTACAGGGCTTTTATCAGTTGAGTGAGGCTGACTCTGATCTTGGCACCGTTGCCAGGATGACAGCACTGGTACCTGGGACGCTAGTGTGATGCCTCCTCCCTCCGAGGGGAGAGAGCAGCCGATGTTTTGTTCTCTGGCAGGCGCTCAGTGTGCACTAGAACCTGCATTTTGCTGCTGCAGCCTGACTTGAGCTTCCGTTACTTTCACGTCCTAAAATTTATTTTTTAATTTAAATGATGCCGTTTCACATCCCACTCCACTGAAGTTCTTTATGTACCCTGCCAAATTCAGCACTACCAAAAATGATACTTTGAAATTCCCAATTTAGGTGCAAGTAAGAAGCAGCTCAGCTGAAGGTGGCATGGAAAACATCATGAACTTGGGCCCTCTTACTTCATAATATTTTTATTTCTCCCAGGTCAAATGAAACCAGGAATCATTTCAGCTAAAATCAGGTAATACTATTCACTGGGCGGAGGGGAGGAAGCAAACTACATAAAAGAGCCTTGTTAGAAAACCCCACAAAATTGCTTTTGTCCTTTTTCTAAGATTATGCAAATAAAAAGGAGAAAAAATAGGGTAATTTCTTGGTGAACTGAACGGTTTCAGCATAGTCTGGTGTGGAACAGGAGGCGGTCATCTGTTAGGTTTCTCCACAATGACCTGTTTCTTCTACTAGTCAAATTGACAAGATAAACCACACAGACTAGAAACCCTCACTTCAATGACCAAAAGAAAAATGCTTTTTTCCATTAAAAAGAAATCTTATTTGAGAACTCTAATAGTATTAACCAGAAAGTCTATCAGTTCATATGATTAAACTCCTCTAAAAGGAATTCAGTAAAATGTACTGAAACAGTCACATCCTCAAAGCAGCATGATCAGCTGTTCAAAGATAAAGCTTATGACTGTCATGTTATTTTAATCATTATTTCCCAAGATATGTTGTCATTATATTTACTTTAAAAAATCTGTTTTATCTGCCACATTTATGCTTAGTTTTTTCTTATATTTAATTTTTAATGCAAATCAAATCATTCAAATCATGGTCAGTTTTCAGTTTCAATCTAAGAAAGAAAAAAGAAAGACAAATATAAATTGTTCTAAAATATATATTAATGTTTTCAACTATAATTGTTGATTTTGAACTAAAACATGCACAAAGTAAACAGACAAATGAATCACTGTAAAGTGTGGTCAAAATATTTTCTCCCCTGTGATTCATTTTTTTAACAATTTACAAAATAAAGTACATTTTAAAAGGGTTAATTTGATTACTAAAAATCAAAATCAAACATGCACAAACAGAGTATCTCAAAGCACAAAGAGAGTGCTGCGAAAAATGTGGTTAGCTTTTCCTGGGGATGGGGCAGAGAACAAATGCCATGGTTATTAGAATCACACAACCTCCCTGATTCTCACAGGAAATCTCGCTTTGTGGAATTTGAAAATTCCATATTCAATCATACTGTTAGTCACAAACCTGAAAATGATTCTCTAAATTGGAGTAAATGGTTTAAAATGGTTCTTTTTCCACTTTGGTTTGTTATATAAAAGGTTTTTCTTGCATATGTAATTCATTGCTTTTCTGTTATGTACCTCTAGATAGTACAGCTTACACATATGATAAATTAATTCATAATCTCATCAAACCACCTTGAGACATCAGTCATAACTGAGGTAATGACTACTTTGGGGGTGACGGTGCTATGGGCAGCAATGAATGGCTGTGGCAGCAGTATTGAAATGCAGCGTTACGGAGGCCTGTCACTTAGTTTTCACCCACAGTTTTAAGGGTGATCAGTGAAGATGTCGGGGAGACAGCTTTGAGGTTATGACACTGCAAAAACCAGGTTGTACTGAAATGAAAAACAATAGTGCTAGAGGGCATTTGAAACGTTCCTTAAGAAAGACTTCTAATTACTATGTTATTGTATGACACCTTGCCTGGGTAAGAGGAAAGAAAAGAAAAAAATAAGGACAAACCTGTTAAAGATAAAGAAAGCAGATGTGTATAAAGAATTAGGTTCATTCGACACTGATATTTCTGAAGAAAACTTTAAAAATATTGTAAGTAAAATAAAATCAGGAGAAAATGAAATCTTTACAGAAAATATTTCATACTGTCAAGGGCTTTTAAAACATGGTTCAGGAATTTTTATTTTTTCTATTTTAGAATTCTAACTGCGACATATTAAAACAAAATCAGCTCTGAGAGTAATTTTCCAGGCAATGTATGCTCCTTTTTGAGAAGCCAAACTCTGTCTTTTCTCTAAATAAGCACAATAAAATGGGCGAGCTGTCTGCAAGGGAGGGAAAAACAAAAACCAGCACAGATTGCTGGAAGAAACATCAACAGAAAAATGTGATACCGACAAAAAGCAACCTAAAATATATTTATAGGACACACGGCAATCCAGTCTGCTGGTCCAAATAGATTTTTTTTTAGCATAAGACTTTTCATTAGATCTTTTGCAGAAATAAAGTCCAACTCCCGCTTTTAAAAATCTCAAATGCAGGTGGAGAGTTTTAGTTTTGATTCACACTTACAAGTCCAGGGTCTTAAAGATAAGGCAACAGGTTTTGATACACTTCTACCCGGGTTAAAAAAGTAATTCATAAACTGTCTTATCTCACCTGTTAACTACTGGAAATAGGCAACTAATACAAACTGTGGGTATATTCAGGCAAGCAAATGCATACGAGTCGTCGCTGGCTGTTATGGGTAAACCAAGGAGTACATTTCTGTCAGGGAAATACAGGTGGAAATCAACAACAACAAAAAAATGCACACTCCTCACTTCTATCCCCAGTCTGCAACCAGAGAATGAATGCATGATTCTGGGCCCTGAGGTTTTTTGTTTGCAGATACTTGAATAGTGACGTGGCACTCAAACTGCTTCTTTGGAACTCCTTTAAAAGTAAACAGAGGCTTCCCCCCTTCTCTGCTAATTATATAGTTTGTTTATAAAGATGCAAGCTCTTTATTGTTCATAATCTCAGCTATCACTTGCTTGGGCATCTATTCGGATCAACAGCATAGAGTTAAGTGGAAGAAAAAGCTAAATGTGATTGCTGTCTGCAAAGCAAGGATGAATTTTTAGATTTTAAGTGCTGTTCTTATGTTTCATATTAAAATACTGAATTCAAGTCACAGGTTCAGAGTCACTGCACATTTAGGGCTTTTTGTATTTAGTTAAACATCTGTCATTTAAAAAAATCTAGAATACTGGCATAGGTTAGAATAAAATCTAGTGTGCATCCTGCAATTCTACAGATTCCATTGCTGGTGGCCATACATCTTTGATGGCAAAACTACACTGGTTGTAGCACCATAAAAATCAATAAATATTAACCTTTTCTGACACTTTGTGCATGGATACTTTATCAATTGCTGTCAGGTAATAGAACAGTCAGTGATGAACTATACTTCTCAGCTAAGGAATCCAAGACAAATTATAAATCGGTGTAAATTAACAGACTTTTTAAATTAAAAAAATTAGTAACAGATTTTATTTCCTGTAAGAACATAAAAGCTAGTAAGCTTACTTACATTTTGAGTAGGTGCCTTTGGTGGGATGTAAATATCAAGCAGCACTTTAATCAAAAGAACTAAACACTAAACACATTTCTACAGGCGCCTCGTATAATTAGATGGATTATATATAATCCACTTTTGAACTTCAGGTGACATGCTAACTAAGAAGGGGGGAAATATTACTTCCTAACACCCTAGTTTATTTCTGGTAGCAATCCACATTCTTTTGGATGAGATACAGGTAATATCTAGCATAATTTGTAGAAATTCGAAGGGGAAAACTGTTCAGTAGAACGAGAGTGTCACTTTATGCTGGGAAACTTTCCATATAGTCACTGTAATAGTGACTCTTCAACACTAATCCCACGCTATCCTCAGGGTCCCAATTATTGGGCTCGCGGTCCATGAGGTACATACTGTACACAGCAAGAGAACAGACTGTAGGTTTGGAACTACGACAACCGACACACTAAGGGCTTCATTCTAGTTACTTCACGGGAAATAGTCCATGACTTCGTTCTTCCAACATTAGTTTTTAGCTTTGCAGCTGTGACAAAATTTCACCAAACAGTCTAACGTATTGATCAACTAATAATGTAAATTCAAAACTAAACTCTTAATATCTTAAGTCTGGTAATTTAAATAGCAAAGTCTATCGCTATTTGCATTCTCTTTTCAGTATATGCATTTCTACGCCTTATGGGTGACAAACAAACTGTGTTTTCATGGTCCAGTTCCCTTCAAAAATACTGTGAAATTTCAATAGGGCAGCAATTCAGACAAATAACTCATCCTTCAGATGGAAAATAAATGCTTCACACATAAAGTAACAGCTGTAAGAAAGAGAACTGCAATGTGCTAAAATCACTATTAACGTAATATCAGCCTAAGAAGAATCAGAATTCTCAGGAAAATAAAAATGTATTAGTTATATCTCTCTGGGCTGTAAATTTAAAAAATGGATTTTTTGGCTGGGCATGGTGGCTCACACCTGTAATCTCAGCACTTTGGGAGGCCAAGGCAGGTGGATAGCAAGGTCAGGAGATCGAGACCATCCTGGCTAATGTGGTGAGACCCCGTCTCTACTAAAAGTACAAAAAAATCAGCTAGGCATGGTGGCATGTGCCTGTAGCCCCAGTTACCTGGAAGGCTGAAGCAGGAGAATGCTTGAACCCAGGAGGCAGAGGTTGCAGTGAGCCAATATTGTCCCACTGCACTGCAGCCTGGGCGACAGAGTGAGACTCCCATCTCAAACAAAAAAAAAAAGATAAAATAAAAAATAAATAAATAAAACAAAATAATACGGATATTGCAATATGATCTAACACTTTTTCATTCCTCGAAAAGAAGTGGATTCTCATAAGATGCTGGAGATGAGAAACACATGCATATCAGCCAAGTACGTTACTGAGTATCTGGTCCCCACTGAGGCTTTGTGGGTGAAAGCATGACTGCCAGACAAGCATGGAGAGGAAGCGCCCCAGATGGGCACCAAGGCAGACAGACTCAGGGCTCCAGCCGCCCCGTGGACCAGCAGGTCCCTATAAAAACATACTGGAGGCCCAGGCACCAACTGCCTTATAAAAAGCACGTTTCTGAAATGACTAACATCTTTAAAATGTTAAACTTCAGGTCAGAAAGATTAAAAAGATTTCTTACAAACCGGTCAAAGTAGGGAAAGTCTTGGGTTTCTGTTCTCCAGTCATGCTTGATTCGCATCAAGACTGGGTTTCCTGTTTAGCTCTCTGATCCCAAGCTATGCTGGGGTAGGTACTTTCCCAGCCTTTCCTCCATGTTTGGCATCAATCTTTAGCTCAGATAGAAAACAAACAGAAGAAATATAAAATCTTGCCAGATCATCCAAGATAAAGAAGACCTCCTATAGCCAAGGCTGATGATCTTCACTTTTCTCTGATAACGAGCACCTGTGAGACTGCAGCGCACTTCACAGCTTCAAAAGCCACTTTCCCTGCTGCAGGGGAGATTCGTGCAAAAAAGTTTCTGGTGGACATAAGAATCACAAGCTCCTTTCCTCTAGTTTATATTAATAATACCTTAGAAATGCATGGCACTAAATGGTTTGCAAAGAACTTTCACACATGATCTAATTTAATGAGGGCATGGCAGTTAATCCAGCCATCAGATCCACACCACAGCGATCTTCAACCCAACACATGGAGCATCCAAATCTGGAAATGAAGATCATCTATTTTTAGTCTAACCGATTTTATTCTAACACAATCCTGCCATCCTGCAGAAGTCTCTGAGAATATGGAGAATCTGCATATGAGGTGGGAAATAACTCGAGCCCTGGAATACCTTTGTCAACTCTTATATGAAGGAATAAAACAATCCTCAACGAATAACATCATCACCGTTGTTGCGAAAGTTTTTCCTTTATTTTGGAGACTTCAGCCTCAAAGCTAAGTATCCTAGCCTACGAAAGCATTTTTCTGTAGCTCTATATTGGCACCAATAGGCACAGGAAAGAAACGAAGGGGGACCCAGCAACTCCATTTGCTACTTGAGAAAGGAATAACATACATGCTTAACCCATGTAATACCATTCTCAGCAACTCTGATTTATTACAACCCTATTTATACTTGAAATGCTATATTCAAATATTTGCTTAGCAACCCATTATAGTACATTATGTGTTGTGTATGTGTTTTTGCTTTTTGCTCTATGCCTGGAATATCATGATCCCTCAATTAATGAACCATCGGTGAGAAAACCTACTACAAGCTGGAGCTACATGAAAGCAGGTTCCTGTGGAGCAAATGTGCCCACCCAGTATGCCCCTCCTGCAGCATGGCCCAAACAGCCAAGGGAGAGTGAGCAAGAGGCCAGAGAGCACAAGAAAAGGGTGGTGACATGCACATGCTACACCGACTTCAGACACCCTCAAATAACAGGGCAAGAAATCCAGCATCTGGATCAGCAGGCCATGAGAGATCAGTGAAAGTCCTTTGTTATTGCTAAGTACATTACAGAAACCACTGGATGTCAGTTTTGTGGCAATGGGAAGAAGCTGCTCCAACAGGAAAGTCTTGAGTCAAGCAGTCACAAGAGAATAAGAGGGATGGCAGCAGGGCAAGGCAAGGACGGGCCCGGTTCCGCCACTGGGATTCACTTAGGGCACTCACCCCACCCTTCCACATCTTTGTTAGGTCACCCCGAGCTAACAAAGGGGATGTCTGTGTAAGCGTCTAGAAAGAAAGTTCATTTTATGTGCATTGTTCTACCACCCCAATTATAGAACAAACAACCAAAGAAAACTGAGCAGTACACCCAAGAACTATGAGCTCCCCCTCCACACCCTGCCCACCTACAGGGTTCCGTAGCGTGACCTGGGGTTGGCTCAGGGGGCTGAGGTGAATAAAGGATCCAGGTAAGTGAGGGAGCGACGCTTCACCAAGCTGTGCGCCGCAGACAGGAGCAGAGAGGCTTCCTTCATTTTCTCTACAACAGCCCCGCAAAGTAGGATTTATGACTTCAGTGTTTTTAAGGAAACAGAGGCATAGGAAAGTTAAACATTTTATCAAGGCACAAAGCTAGAGAGTGACACAAATCTTACCATGTCGCTTCTCTGCTACAACCTTCACTGGTTTCCCCTTCTTCTTGGTTCAAAATCCTCAACATACCTTTCAAGTCTGGCCCCTATTAGCCCTGAGCGCATCAGCTTCCTCTGGTGTCTCCCTCCCTCTAGCTGCACAGAACCCTGGTTCCTGGGCCCAGCTTCCTCCCCAGATAATACTAATGGCCAGCAAAGTCCTCCTGGGCCAGCCCCACCCCAGTGCCCAGACAAGTCCTTCAGGTCTCAGCTGCACGCCCCTTCCCTGGGCAGGGGCAGGCGTTTCCATGCCCTCAGTGCCCCCGCAAAGCTCCTATTCTGTTATGTTTGATCCTAAGTGACTTTGGCCTCAAGTAGGTGTCATCTCATGCTCTACTGGTGGCTCCCATACAATGTCTGCCTCTCTGGCTACAACAAGCTCCACAATGACTGCAATCACATATGTTCTGTCCATAAGTTGATCCCTACATGGAGCAAGTCAACCTACTTGTTTCTTCTAATCCTCGGAATCTTTCATAAAAGTTGATTACTTAATGGGCAGGTAATATTTGAAAGGTACTGTGGCAGAGACTTCATATGTAACTTAATAAGCTAATTCTCATGAAATCCATGACCAAGAAAGGTTTTTGTATCCATTTTCTACCTAAAAAAGCTAAAACTGAGACATGGTGTGTAAGCTTCCCAAGATCACACAGCAAGAAAGTGTCAGAATTGGTTCAAAATTGGGTTTATCTCATCATAAGACAAGTGTTTTTTCTGCCACACCATGCTAACAATCTCAATATCTTAACTGGAAAAGAGCAGGTCTTTAATTTCTATCAGTGAGGTCTTGAGAATAGTTTTAACAGCATTTGTTATTCTCTCTTTTGATTACAAAAAGCAACACACTGTAGATGATATAGAAAAGCTTGCACTTAATATGTTGAGAGTTCCAATTTTCCTCCATAGGCTTCATCAATGGGTACCGTCAACCTTTTAGATTTCTGTCGATTGATAAAAAGGGGCATCTCACTGTTTTGATGTAGTGACAACTAATGAGGTTAAGCATTTTTGCATATACTTTTGGTAATCTGCATTTTAAATTGCCTATTCAGATCCGTCTTTTAAAAAATCAAAGGAGGTTTCTATACATAAGGAATACATATTAATCCTGTTATCTGTCTTACATGTTATAAATTTTTACATTTCACTTCTGATCTCAAATTATTGCATTGCTGAATATATTCATATATAAAAATTTGTTATCTCATGTTTTGTTTCTAAACAGAAAACACAGTGATTATCTGTCAATATATAAAGACTTCACTAAAATAATGATCAATTTTCTTGTATTTCAGGTGTAATATTTCAATATTTCTATTCTTGAGATTTCCGAATACAAAACAAAGTAAGAGTAAAGTGGAATGTAAATGTCTAGAGGATATTGTAGGTATGCATGTTTAGATAAAGGAATACATATTACAAGCAATAGAAATCATGCCCTAAAATTATAAATATATGTGATCAAAAAATCCGCCTTTAGAATTTAAGATACTTTATTACCCTCTCTTTCTGAATCAAAAAGGTCGCCTCACACCTTAGATTATGTCTTACCCTGCAATGTCAACTCTATCTCTATGCTCTTAATGACTGTTTTCTCTTCTTGAGCTTTTATAACCTAACCAAGGACAAGAGAGTGAGCTGTCTGTCTTCAGTGGGGTGACTGCTACCTATCCCTATTTGCTTCCTGCAAACACAGGCAAGTTCCTTTGTGAACAGATCATTTTCTAGAGGTCATTCAGACCATAATTTCAGGCCCTAGCCACTATCCTGATGGTCCTTCTTAGAAAATTGGACCCAGTGGGAACGTTTTCTCCCTCTGCTTTAGTCTATGGGTCAGCATTTTCCTTCCCTTGTAGTTCTTAATTCCCTTAAGTGGCAATTATTTAAGACACACTTAGAGAAGGTGCAATCTACATTCATCCAATAAAACCTAAATATTAAAAAGGACAGAAAAATTCAGCATGGTTACTAAGGATAAATGGGACAGCATTTAACATTTGAAAGGTACCAACGAAGTGGTACACGAGTAAATGGATAAAATTTTAAAAAATGGTTGGAGGTAAAAAAAAAATTAAGACGATCTAAAAGGGTACACTATGTGTCAAAGAGACAGAGCGTCTTAATTACAAAAGGTTAATATCACAGTCAGAGTCAAGAAATAGGTGGAAAGATCACTCTAATAAATACTACCTGGAAATTCACCCAAAGGCAGCAGATACAGAAAGTCTACATTGTAGATTTTTCACCAGTATATGACGAAAATTTGGTTACTATAACGGCCCTAAATACAGAGGTAACCAATTCGTGCTCAGAGCATGATGCTGGGGATAAGATCACCCTAATATGTGGAAAGACATATCAAGACAATTATGATGACTATATGGACAAAAGAAGGTCATAAATAAGGTCAAATGTTCTAAAAGAAGCCAAAGGAGCAATGTAAGAATTCTGAATTTTATGGGGCCCGCTCATAAGCATAATGCGCTGGGATTGGTAAAAAAGAGGTCATGAATTAAAATGACAATCTATTCATGAAACACAACTGCAGAAGTCCTGAATATGAGCATTATGCAGATAATAATAATATCACATGTGAGCCATGGGTATTGTGGAAGACAGAGCATTTCCAGGTCTACCAAGTATAATCTCACCACCTTTTCCCATGGTATATATTTAGGAGCAGAAAAATATCTGTGAAATTTTAATGATTGATTCAAATATGGTTACATAATTAAATTTTTTAAAACTTAATGTTCAGAATTTGGTCTTTGATCTAATTGATCCCCTGCCTGGTGATCAAAAAATTGTATTTTGCTAAGCAAATCCAACATGTGATATGTATAAAATATGGTAGACATATTTAAAACTTCTTGGTTTAAAGTGAGTTTTCATACATAAAACTGAATTCATTCCATTAGAACCACTTTTAAGGTTTTAACTCTCACAATTATGAAAGGTCTCATCCCTACAATAAATCCCTTATTCTGTATCACTCAAAGTGGTTCTGCTTCTGTGGTCGAACCCTGACTGATAAAACTTTTGGGATGGTGACATTTAATCCAAGCAGCACATATAACACTGTCAATTATCTAGCATAAAACAGTAGCATAATAGTGGTTATACAGAAACCACAGGCTGGCTTCAAACTCTAGTGCTAGTCTTTAAAGTTTCAGTCAGTTATTTTACCTCATTTTTTCTACCATACCATTAAATTAAAACTAATAGTAGCATGAGATTGTTCTGAAAATTAAATGATACTCTTAAAAACAGCCTCATATCTGGCAAATAGTGATTGCTTGTATAAAATAGTTGTTACCATGTATGATATGGTCAATTATCTAGAATAAAATGGAATTGACTCAATGCTACTTTCTAGAGCTTGCCCAGGCTCTAGAGAACAGAAGCCATATGGCTGTGGAAGAAATTTCCAGATGCTCTATACAGGTCATTTGCTCAGGGGTGCTTTCCTAAAGCACCTTTCACTTTTCTTTATCAACCTTATATCATGGGAGCAAAATGTCCAAAATTTGTTTGGTGATAATCCAGCATGTATAAACACAAGATTAGTTATAACTTCTCAAATGAATTAATTTCTAGTCTCATCAGAACTTTTCAACTGTGTTTTACAACACTATAAATTTCACAAAGTCAAAGAAGTTTCTAAAACCTCTCTCACCAAAAAGTTTGAGAATTATTAATTCAGCTTTTCAATGATGATTCAGAAATCATCGGCAGATAAAAATGCTTTTCATTAATTATTTGGAAATATTAAAGAAAGTTCATATGACCATATTTCTGAAATGGGATGGTATCTTCCTGTTCTGATTTATCAGTGCAAATCCTACACAACTGGAATTAACTGTATCCCAACTGTCTAGAATTCTTTCGGTATAGGTTTTAAACAGAGGTTCATACAGAGTCAAAGATCCTACCTGCGGCTGGCTTAGCAAGAGAAGGAACTAGCCATACACCTGAGTTCCCCTTACGGAGTCTTCTGTTTTCTCAGGAGGTGGGCACAGCTGGGTGGTGGTAAGTCTGCGACTTCATCATGTGGAAGCCTGGGACTCACTGAGAGGGATGTGGAGAGTAAGCCTAAATGCGCAGGGGCAGAGTCTCACTAAACAAACACTCAGATAAAACGTCTGCATAAACTAACATGTCAGATTTGGGGTCTATATCAAACCCTTTAGGCCAAACATTCCATTTTGTCTGCACTATGAGGATAAAATACTGTATCCTACACTTTGAGTGAAAATGACTATGCATATTAATGTAACAGGCGAATATCTTGACATCTTAATGCCTAGAAGATAAACACACCCAAACTGATCCTGCCATAAATAATAAAAATAGATAGCTCTGGATTTCAATTGTCCTTTTCAATGTAAAAAAGATATTTAAAAATTTAATATGTTCAAACTGAGCATCAAATATCTTTAAAATGTCTTCGTAACATACTTCCTTAGAAGCAGATAGAGAAATTGGAGTGAAAAGTAAAAGAAAATATATTAAGTGCCATCACAGAATTATATCTAAAACCAAAATTACTTCTTTGATTGAGTTCTGGATCATGATCTAAAAGCACACATCACAAAAAGAAAAAACTTTTTTAAAAAATTACATACAGGGAGAAAAGGCCAGAAATATGGATGGAGATAATACATTAGGAAACCATTAAAAGACAACAAACAGAAACCTAAAGTATTATTCAGCCTCTTCTAAAGAGCCAGCTGTTGGATTATCTTCCTTTTTCAGCTTTTACTGTATGTGCCGCACAATTCAACTTCTGAGCTCCTCCCTGGTACACATTATTGCCTACAGTCTCTTCTGCCTGCTCGGTGCTTCCATCGATCTCCTCTTCTCACCTCTCTGATTATTCAAGTTTTACAAAACCAAGTACCCTCCCCCTTGCCTTCATGCAATTCAGATTAATCATCCGTGTTTACAAGTTACATGAGCTGCGGCCACATTGCCACCCCGTAGCACACACTATTTCCAACACTCCTTTAAATGGCAAGAGCACTTCCAAGCTGAAAGAATTGATTACAATTAAATGTGCATGAGGGGGATTCTATCTGGTCCCCGATTTCAGCAAGAAGCTTGCTTTGTCTGAACAACAAGGTTAATCTAAAAAAGCCTAATCCTGTCGGTGGTTTATTTGTAAAACACCAAGAAGTACCACATTTCAGTGTTGACCAGATGCTCTAAGAAAATGTCAATAGACTCAATAAATACTTAGTTACCAACATAAAGAATGTCAAACTATGGGACTGAGATACCTGATAAATGAGAAGAGTTATGAGTTTGGTGTGTTTTAAAATAATAAAGCTTTAGATGAAGTCAACTTCTAATACTACCAAATAGTATATTAAAATTGCAAGAGAACTATCTGAGCATTTTCATGTCTGTCATTTTGTACTAATGGATTCTTTAAAACAGTCTATTTATTACAAATAGTCATTTCTAATCAAGAGAATTGGGTACATAAACATGAATATGCAAGTTGTGCCAAGAATCGAGGTCACATATGTTAATATAAAATGTAACTTGGGATACTCTTGTCACTCAAGAGCAGCATCTACTGGCATAATTAAAATGAATATAAATGACATAGAGTAATTTCAGTTATATATTTTACTAACTAAATACTCATAGAGTACTTAATAAGTGGCAGGCACTATTTTAAGTACTTTGCAAATATTGGCTTATTTAATCATTCCAAGACATTTATCACAAAAAGCAATTAATTTTTGTTTGTTTTTGAGACCGAGTCTCGCTCTGTCGCCCAGGCTGGAGTGCAGTGGCATGATCTCGGCTCACTGCAACCTCCACCTCCCGGGTTCAAGTGATTCTTCTGCCTCACCCTCCCGAATAGCTGGTATTACAGGCACGCGCCACCATGTCCGGCTAATTTTTGTATTTTTAGTAGAGACGGGGTTTTGCCATGTTGGCCATGATCTTGAACTCCTGACATCAGGTGATCCACCCGCCTTGGCCTCCCTAAGTGCTAGGATTATAGGCGTGAGCCACCATGCCCAGCTAAAAGTGATTAATTGACAAAAACCTTACTCCAAGATGCAAAAGGATTTATTTAGCTTGCGATGTTGTTTCCATTTAAGACAGCAAAGTTCAAATCTATTCCTGGCCAACATCTGGAAGGAAACTGGTATTATAATTCATATTAACTTAATGAAACCAGACAAGGAATGTGGAGAAAATCCTAAAACATAGTTCCCCAATAAAAGTACTCTCTCAATGAGAAAAAAAATAAAATTTATATTCCATACAATAGTGATTAAATTCATCTATACTACCCTTGAAAGAATCTTGCCTTTTCCTTCACAAACACGAAACCATTTATGCTAGGCTTTTATTTTAGGCATGCACTAAAATTATAATTTTTCACAAGACGAAAGAATGACTTCCTGTCAATCACACTGACATGCTACTCAACAAACGACACTAAGAGCAATGACAAGAGTGAACAAGTCTGTGCAGCTTTTTAGAAGCATCTAGACCAGCCATCAAAAATGCTATTTTATCTAGTTGGGGCCTACAGTATATTCTGCTGCAGTAAAAGCTATTAGGGGATTTAAGTGATTACGAGGATAAATTTTTACCTATTAAAATAATGCATCAAAGTGTTTTTAATCTTAGGAAAAATTAAAAAAAGAAAACAAGGAAGTGTAAACATGTCTGTAAGTTCAAATATTTTACTTCACATTTTGCCTCATTAAATGGATATATTTCAAACACTGACTAGAACATATCATATAACATATGTTTAGTCCATTAAATTTCAGAAGGTCAAGCCATTTAGTATAATTTTTGTATTCACTCTTCCCCACTTCCACTTTTCCCATCCCAATCAAATCTCTGCCCTGAACGGCACTTCACCAACCAAGAGATGTATTTAATATCTTCTAAAATGGGTAAGTGTGGAAGACAGAAAAAATAGGGGTACCAAATTATTTTTGTATTTGTAATTTTTAAAAATTGTGGTAAACCATACATAAAAGTTACCATCCTAATCAGTTTTATGTGGACATTTCAGCAGTGTTAATTAAGTACCATCACACTGCTGCACAACCAGTCTCTACAACTCTTTCATCTTACAACACCTTAACTTTGCCTGGTCACACAACTCCCCATTTTCCCTCCCTGCAGCTCCCGGCACCCAACATTCTACCTTCTATCTCTTTGACTTCGACTACTCTAGGCACATCATCTGTAAGTGGAATTATAATGCAATTATACTTATCAATGTAAGCCATCTTGTGTGACTGGCTTGTTTAACTTAACATATTCTCAAGGTTCATCCATGTAATAGCATGTGCCAGATTTTCCTTCCTTTTTAAGGCTGAGTAATGCTCCACTGTATAATATATAACAAACTTTGTTGATCCATTCTTCTGTTGATGGACATTTGGGTTTCTTCCACTTTTTCACTATTAATAGTGCTGCTATGAACATGGGTGTACAAACACCTGTTTGAGACCTTGCCTTCAATGATTTGGGATATCTATCCCAAAGTGGAACTGCTGGATAATACGGTAATTCTACGTTTCATTCTTGGAGGAGCTGCCATTCCGCTTCCACAGCAGCTGCACTATTGTACATTCGCTTCAGCAGCGCATAAGGGTTCCAACTTCTCTGCATCCTTGTCAGCACTCGCAATTTTCTATTTTTCTGACAGGAGGCATCTGAATAGGTATGAGGTGGTAGTCGTAGGTTTTTTTTATTAAAGCATATTTCTTAGCTAATGAGAAAAATATAGTGAATGCAAAATACTAAATTGGTGAGTATTATTTACCACCAGATAAGGTGGTAGCCAGAATCACATCATACACAAAAAGTGAACACATTTTCTTATTTGATAACTTAAAGAATTGAAGAATAATAATTTTACTAGGCATTACATTCTGGATGTAAATATGCAGATCTCATTTTATTTACACATAAGTTTTTTTTGAATGATTGGTTATAACAAATATCAGGCTAAGTCAAAAGTCATTCAGGACATAGAAGAGCCAGTGACAAGCCAAACACATTTGTGATGAGTTTAAATTACGTCTCAGATGAGGGAGAAGATGGACACACGAAGCTGAGGGGAAATGCACATATCCAACTGTGGCATTTTAAGGATAAAATTTCAAACCCATGCATGCTTAATTTCAGAAACTGCTAGGGTAGCAGAGTAAACAAACTGACCCAGAGAAATGCTGCTAACTTACTTTCAACAAAAGAACAAAGGCAATTTAATGAAGGAAGGACAGTGTTTTCAATAAATACTGCTGAAAAAAATGAGACATCTATATGCAAAATAAAGAACTTTGACTTACACCTTATATGTTATACAAAATATGACTCAAAGTGGATCACAGAACTAAATGTAAAGTGTAATAAAAGCATAAAGCTTCTAGAAGAAAATATATAAATTATTCTTTGTAACTCAAGTTAGGCAACTAGCTTTTAGAAGATATTGTATCAAAAGCTCAGAGCATAAAGGAAAAAACTAATAAACTGGACCTTATGAATACTATGACTTTTCTGTATGAAACACACTGTTAAGAGGCGGAAAAAAAGACATGTCTCAGACTAGGAGAAAATATTTGCAAATCATATTTCAGAGGTCTCAGGTCAAAAATATAAAATAAAAATGATCTCAAAAATCAACCTAATGAAAAAAGGGGAAAAATATTGTATTTCAAAAGACACTTCATCAAAGAAAATATACAGATGTCAAATAATCATGAATTGATGCTCAACATCATTAGTGATCAGTTAAATACAAATTAAAACCACACGATGAGTTCCTGGTGAGTACGTGGAGTGACGGGAACTCACACATTGCTGGCGGGAACATACTATGCACAGACAGTTTGAAAAATAGTTCAACAGTTTTTTTTTTAGACAGTTAAATATACCATATAATCCAGGCATCTCGTTTCTAGGTATATACCCAAGGAAATGAGATCTTATATTCACAGAATCTTATATGTGAATGTTTAAAGCCTCTCTATTAATAATTGCCAAAAAGAATAAAAACCCTAGCTGTGGAATTTCACTGTGGTTTTTATTTGCATTTTCCTAACAGTAATGGTGTTGAGCATATTTTCCATGGCTTGCCGGTCATTTGTGTATCGTCTTTGGGGGAAATGGTTATTTTGATCATTTGTCCATTTTTAAAATAGGTTATTTGCCTTGCTCTTGTTGAGTGACAGAGTGCTTTATGTATATTCTGGATACAAGTCCCTTACCAGATAGATTTGCAAAATATTTTCTCTCATTTTATAAGTTTTTCTTTCATCTTTTTGATGGTGCCCTTTGAAGCACAAAATTTTTAATTTTGATAAAATTCAACTTATGTTTTCCTTTTGTTATTTGTTCTTTCGGAGTAACATCCAAGAAACAATTGCCTAATTCAAGGTCATAAAGCTTTATCTGTACGTTCCTTTTGAAGGGTTTTTACAGTTTTATTTCTTATATTTAGGTCTTAGATAATGTATGTTCTAGATAGAGAGATAGAGAAAAACATCTATATTCACAGGAATGCAGGATTTAGTATACATACCTACACTTCCTTGTTTATCTGCTGCGAAGGCCTAGAAGCAGAGGTACACAGAAGCAATGAGTCCACACAGTGTATATATCTTGGCTTATAACTACCATTCTCCAGCCAAAGGAACCAGGTCTCCTTAAGGTAGTGATTCATTTCTGGACCATGGCAAGGAAAACACAAGATGAACCCACAGAACACTGTGGTGCCTGAAAAGTAAAGAGATGTCTCTAAAAGGATGGGGGTGCACACAGGGCACAGGAGCTGACTGGAAAGAGGGGGCAGTGGTTAAGGCAGGAGTGCTTTCAGTAAGAAAATAAGCCACAATGGTATTGGATTATAAACCTCAGGATAAAATACCTCCACAATGATAAAAAGAAATAGAATGAAGAACTGGGAAAGAAGGAACCAACTACCATTCCTTACAGAATAATTCCAATTATTAAACGTAGAAGAAATGCAGGAAAGAAAAAAAACACCATTTAAACATCACAGACCTTATTCAGGCAGGATAAACTAATGGATGTCAAAATTATTGGGCAAATGACTGGGGAGAAATAGGCTATTTTCGTGGTCTGAAAGGCTCTCTCCAAGATGTGTACTGATTAAAAAGGTAAAACCAGGAAGCTGCCACTGGAGGATTCTGAAGATCCCACCTCACTCCATGGGCCAGGCGGACGTCCTCAGTCACCAGGTGCTCCAGGCACAGCACACATTTCTTCTGGTATTTTCTTAAATGACTTCAATTAAATCATGAGTAAACATCACACTATTCCAAATTAAGAGACATTCTACAAAATAACAAATCCATGTTCCTTAAGAGTGCCAAGGTACTGAAAATCTGTCCTGGACTGGAGAAGACCAAGAAGACATGGCAACTAAAAGGAATGTTGGTTCCTGGGCTGAATTCTGGGAATGAAGGAGGATGTGAGTGGAAAAATGATAAACTCTGAATACGAGAATACAGCATAGAAAATGGCAACGTATTAATGCTAAATTCTCAGGCTTTCGTAAGTAGTATGGTTATGTTTGATGTTAACATTTGGGAAAGTTGGGTGAAGGATATATGGAACTCTCTGTACTATTTCTGCAAACTTTTCTGTAAGTTTAAAATCATTTAAGATAAAAACTTGCGAAATAGTAATTTTCCTCACTGCAAATAGAAATAAATGAAATTGCAAAGAGTAATAATGTGCATTACTTCATATTCTGAACTACATTTCAAAGCTAATGAAACAATGTATCTAAATTTCCCTGATAATTTGAAAGACTTGTCATGCTATTCTTTAGTAAACGGCTTCAGCTGGAACAGTAACTTGTTCTGCAGTAGTAGCAACACGAGTGGGCAACATGATCTTTGTTTCCTCATCTAAAACTGCTGTTTAGGTGGGGGTCAAAATATGTGTGTGAGGGTGTGCAAATTTTTAAAATATGTAAGTTATATTGAATTAGTTGATAAAAAGTCTATATAAAAGTAAAAACCACATCAATTACCTGATAAAATCATACCGTCCCCACTATAACTTTTCACAATCAATTTTTTCCCTTAAAATTTTGATAAATGAAGCTGTCAGAGGGGATAAGATCACGATTTTCAATTTTGTTTACTTTTTTTTTTTAACTGTTTTAACTTTCAAAATCCAGTTCACGAAGGCTGCAAATGTGAGCTCTGATAAGATCGCAGTGCTGCCTGCCATGAGGTAAGAGAATGCCACGTGGCTGGGTGACCTTGGCGCAGCAGGGAAGGGAGCCGGGAAGGAAGCGCTGGCGCGGCTCGAATCATACAGGCCATCACACTTGGCCAGCACACTCAAGGAAGGGGAGAATATAGTTTTTTTCTGGAAAAAAGTTAAAAATCACTTTAAAACTTTTCTTTAAGGTCCTGTAGTGACAGGATGAGCATGAGTGAGCCGGGAGCCTGAGAGCCAGTTCGGCCAATCTTGTTAGGTGTTACCATCAAAAGCTGTGTTTTAATTGTGTACTCTAACTTTATTTTAAATTTATGAATGCCATTCAGGACTTTACAGAACGCTAAACTATACAGTAGAAAGGATACTTTTTTCAGGATGATATTCTTTTTAAAAAAACAGTTTTAAAACTACAGAGTGCAGTAGACACAAGCCAAAAATAAAATTCTAAGCTCCCCCACCCCAGCTGACTGAATGGTCCCCTTCTCGGCCAAAGGGATCCCAAAGAAACCTGAAAAACTAGCTCCGGCCCTGAAGGGAAGGCCGGAGGGACAGGCCTCCCTACAAGGTCCTCCCTTTGGAGTTCAGGCACAACTGGTCGGCATTAACATTGAAATAGAGATCTTAAGATTGACAAAACAGACTCTTTGTAGCAAGAAGATATTCAACTCCCACCTGACTCTGGTATAGCATTACATGACAGATAGCAGGTCTTATAAGAAATCAAAGTATTTTACCTCCAAAATATATTTTTTGACATACTTTGAAATGGCCCTGGAATGCCATCTCTTATTGGGAAAATTTGCATTCTGTAGAGAATCTCCTTCCCTTTCCATGTCTTCTCCAGATCCAGCAGAAATTTAACTAACAGTCTGACACCTTTTAAGGTCCTAAAAGAGACCTTCACCATCTATTCTCTCTGCAGTCAGTTACCTGGAAGCTTCATCTACATAATAAGAACCTTGGCTTCTACAATCCCCCTTATCTTAACTCAAGCATTTCTTTCTGCTGGCTTCAAGTCTTCAGGCAAAGGTTAACTTAACCAATTGCCAATCAGAAAATCTTTGAATCCACCTATGACATGTGAGCTCTCTAACTCCCTGCTTGAGATGTCCCACCTTTTTGGGCTGAACAAATGTATACCTTACATGTATTGATTGATGTCTTTGGCTATAACTTCTGTCTCCCTAAAATATATAAACCAAGCTATAACTCAACCACCTTGGGCACATGTTCTCAGAACCTCCTGAGACTGTGTCACAGGCCATGGTCACTCATATTTGGCACAGGATAAACATCTTTAAACATCCAACAGAGTTTGGCTTTTTTCTTCAACATAGGTAACATACAAATAATAGAAATAATTTAAATACATTATTTAAATGATACGTTTCTACTCTGAAAAGTTTTAAGTAGGCCTTCTGTAGCCCTAATTTTAGTATATGCTCAGACTGTTACACTAATATGTATGTATGAATACTAATGTGTACACATATATATGTTTGTTGTTATGAGATTCATTATCCTTAATAGCAACTTGAAATACATGCAAAAAAATCATTAGTCTTTTCCTTCTACTTTGCTACTATTAAAATAGCAGTAACAAAATCCAGTAACTTTCTTAAAAGAATACAATTTTCAAGCTCTTTCATATGGATTATCTAATTTGAACCTCATGTTCAAAAGAAAAGCTAAACAATGTTACTCTTTTTGCAGTTGAGAAAACAGACACAAAATGCTTGAGTGACTGGCTCAAAGTTACACATCTCCATGGTGAAAAAGTTCATCCTGAAACCTAGTTCATTTGACTCCATCCATCCGTCTGTGCCACAGGCTCTGTACTAGGCAGGAGAGGTACAACTGTGAAAACATTTACCATGGTGTTTTTACATTATTATACTATATCATTCTACTTCCTAATATATGTTTAGATTATTTGAACTCTTAAAGCTCTAAATTTTTAAGGCTTCCACTGAAAAAACTTCATTAACCTGCCAATCAATTATTTTAAAGCTCCTGTACAGCAGGGTGATGTAACTGTAAGACTCTGAAGACAGGTGAGAATTTTATAGAGCCACACTGTAGTTATGCATCCTCAAGCAACATAACCTCTTGAAGACAGATTTTTCAAAACCATTAAATTGAGAATAACATGTATCAACAAGATTTGTTTTGAAGATTCAATGGTGTAGAGAAAAGTTTGGCACAGATACTATTTACGATTCTTTGTAATTGAAAAGGTAAAATGTGATAGCATGAAAAACAGAGTTCTTCATTACTACTTACTAGCTAATGAAAACATAAGGAAACCATACATAACAACCATTTGGGTCACTCTAGAACAATTAGGATCACCCTCTTGCAGGAGGATGGCAGGAAGGAGCAAATGCTTCTCTGACACTGCTCCACGGTGTTAGGCAGATAAAGGAAGATATGCGTACTGAAGAATACTGGCATATAGTTATTCTTAAAAAGATTAAATGTAAAACTATTTTATTTGTATTTATTTATTTACCTTGAGACAGAGTTTCACTCTTGTCGCCCAGGCAGGAGTGCAATGGTGCAATCTCAGCTCACTGCAACCTCCACCTCCCAGTTTAACCAATTCTCCTGTCTCAGCCTCCCAAGTAGCTGGGATTACAGGCACCCACCACCATGCCCAGCTAATTTTTGTATTTTTAGTAGAGACAGGATTTCACTACATTGGCCAGGCTGGTCTCGAAGTCCTGACGTCAGGTGATTGCTTGCCTTGGCCAGCCAACGTGCTGGGATTACAGGCGTGAGCCACCACGCCTGGTTGTAAAACTATTTTAAAATGTGTCATTAGAAAGTTTTGAAAAAAACCCTCTTTCAGTATATTATTCAAGAAAAAAGAGGTGGAGGTCAGGTCAAAGATCTGCTTCTCAGTAAACAGTATGTTTACTGATAAATATCCACAAATACAATTTTCCTGGATACCAATTACATTACTGCAAACAACAGGATGATGAAAAATACTGTTCTGACATTACTCACTCATAGATTATGAAGTATGTAAGAGAGTTCTTTCTAAACTTAGGAATTCCAACAGGAATGAGAGCGAGAAAGGGAATGAAGAAAAACATCAGCTATCAAAATACCAAATGTGTTGAGCCATGATGGACATTGAGGGTACTGCTATGGCAGACAGCTCCGGAGTATTTGGACAGGAGTATGAAAGAAACAAAGACATTTAGCAGCACTTAAGAAAAATAGTAAATTAACCCAAGGATGATGTCTGAGGTTAAAGAATCAAATTGCTGAAGTGTTAATTATTTTAGGAAGTCTTTTGTTAGTGGTGAAGTATCAGGACACTGGAAAACAAGGAATCTAGTCTGAAGGTTAACACGAAAGAGAGGAGAGGCTGAAAATTATAGACCTGTAAATCTAACATCTATATTAGGAAATAAATTTGAGATGATACTTATGGATGAGCTTAATGATACATTTGGAGAAGTACAATTTAATAGGAGTGAGTCAGCATGGATTTACCAAAGGCAATCATGTCAGGAAAAATTTCGTTCCTTTTTAGGTTGAAGTAATAATTGGTTTATGTAAGGAGAACCAATGAGAAGCTGTCAGGATTTTCTGAGATTTTTGGACCTTTTCAGAAAATGAATTGTTGTACAAAATGTCATGACATGTGTCAGGGCATCCAACTAACAAAAGGGGGTGAAAGCAACCGGGTTAAAAATAGAGGGCCAAGAGGAATTTGGGAGAAGACTGCATTCTATTCTACAAGGTTCTATGTATTGAACACTAATGGTTCTAATTAATGACAAAGGAAATTTTTTTATGTAGGAAATTTGAATATATTGCTAAATAAGGGGTAATGGTTAAGACAAAAGACTTTAGCTGTTTTACGTTAATGAGGCAGAAAAAGGGACTTGGGGTTTTGATAAGAGTCAAACTTTCAAATTCTTATTCTTATAAATGGGAAGAGGCAAATGTAGGGAATACAGTTAAATAATACACGTTATAGAGAACACCAAACTGCTTATCTTAGAGAAGAATACAAGAACCCCAATTTTTGAAGAGAATATGATAATTTCAAGTGTTATCACTCTGCACAGGTAATAATCTAATGTACATACGTATATGACCAAGTCTTAGCATATGTAAAAACTGATGAAAATAAAATTAATTTAAATGTGATACAAAAGTATGAGGGTAGAAAAATAAAGGAAATTAAGAAAAATACCATATCATTACATACTGCTCAATTTTCCCTGAAAAGAGAACACCTTGTAATCATTACCTTTGGAAAAGACAACAACACTTACCACATTTAAGGTCTCAGAGAGAAATAAGAAATAACTAAATCAACTTCATAGCTTTGATGCACTGCTCATAGGCTCAGAAAGTGACCACACTACCCGTGGGTCTTCCAGTGAGCATTCGTTCATGAGCAATAAGAGCTATTTCAATAATAAACAAGCTCCTTGAGCCGTAAGGCATAACTATAAGTCTGCTGCTTGGAAATGATGAGAAAAAAACATCTCTTTCTTCTTAGGCACAATCAGAGAAGGCTGAGCAGCCTCTCCTCAGCCCTCCCCGTCTGGCTTCCAGATCTTCACTCCCCTTTCTCTGGGGTTATATTTAAAGCATTCTGAGCTATCCCTGCTGAAGTGAACTACACATGGGGTCAGACTGCAGGCCACTGGTGTTGCAAACACAGACATGTATTTAATTCTTTGTCCAAATGTAGTGAATGAGTACCAAGCTTATTTATGGATGGGCAACATGGTAGAAATATAATTGTTAAAACTGAAGAGATCAAATCAAGATAATTTTTGAGATGAAATAGATTTTACTAAATAGAAGAAAAATTGTACAATGACAGAAACCTATCTTTAATTTGATGTCAATTTTGTGAAGATTAATGTGACTGTAAAATCTCATCATATTAGACCTAGATTGGGCCTAAATGAAGCTCTTCAGAAACTTGGATGTGGAGAAAGGTGTTTTTTTTTTTAAGTATATACAGAAAAGAATACAACTCATAGAAGAGACTTTGATGAATTTCTCAAACTGAACACAACTGTGTCTCAGTATTGGGATTAAGAAGCAGAATCTTACTAGACCACTGTACTTCATTCAGTGACTGGTGCCTACAAGGGCAAATAAACTCTGACTTCTAAGATCATAGAGTTGTTTTATCTGTTTTTATATTTAATATAAACACAATCATATAAAACGTACTCCTTGGTGACTGGCTTGGTTCATCCAGTGATAAGACTGTGAGACTTACTTCACACTGCTGCTTGTACTTGTAGTTCATTCATTCTCACTGACTTATTCCATTATGTGAATATACAACTTTTGTACATTCTGCTTGAGGGACATTAGGGTAGTTTGGAGTTTTGACTATGATGAATATACCAATAATTACATTAAGTACAAATACTAAAGTAAAAGACTAAATATTTAATGTAAAAGATAAAAACTGCCCCAGCAGATAAACAAAATGCAACTATAAGCTGCTTATAAGCAATCTGGGAAAGGTATACCAATATGAAATGCAGAATTATGGCAAGAGATATTGCTACTAAGAAATATTTCATAATTATGTGTATGTCTGTATCTAAAACAACCCTAAGTTCTGAGTATTTAGTGATATATTTTCAAAATACGTAAAGCCAAAAATAACAGAATTTTAAAAGATAAATCCACAATTATAGTAGGAAACTTTAACATACTCCTCTTAACAGCTGACAGAACCGGCATTTTAAAAAGCACTAAGAATACGACAATCTGAACAACACAGTGAACAAACTAAACATTGTAACCGACAGACAGGGAACAAACACCACTGGTGCCAAGTATTCTTTCCTAATGTGTCTCAAAAATTTACCGAAACTCACCATTTGCTGGGCATAAAAAAGTCTACACAAATTTTAAAGAATTAAAATAATTCATATTATATTCTGTAAAAACAGTAAATTTAAGCTGGTAGTGGATTTGCATTATTAGTTCAATAGTTTAAAAAAAAAAAAAAGATAACCAGAAAGTCTCAAACTACCTGGAAATGGAATATTACGTTTACAAATAATAATCCATGGTTAAAAAAAATAAAGAAACCACTTTTGTCTTGTGTTTCTTATCTGACAACAACTAAAATTAGAACTCACATATAGTCTTTCATGCTCTGGAATATGAAATAGAAAAAGATACAAAAATCGTTTTACTGGTTGCTAAAAAGGACTGAAAAAAATACAATAAATCATCAACTTCTGCTAGAGAGGGAAAAACAAACTGTGCAACCATTTATGCTAAAAATGATCATGTCAAACAGTTTACATACAGTATAAATGATCCCATTTAGATGGCACACACATTCTGTGTGGTAGGCATCACTATCCCCATCTTCAGAGGAAAACTGAGACCCACAGAGTAAAAATGCAGTTTTCAGGGCCAGACATCAAGAGAATGATCAAGCTTAAGTTGGAGCCCATCTTCCCCGAAGGTCATGCCTACAGCTGCACAGCAGGGACTAGGGATAGTTCATTCAAACTCCTAGACTCTTCGATAAGGAATCTGAAGCTCCGAGACGCCTGTCTTTACATAGAGACTTGAATCAGGGTCTCCACTGAACTCCAGTTTTGTGTTACTTGCGTGAATTACATCACGTAACTGCAGTTATACACCAATGTAGAGATACCAAGGGTATAGCACATTTGCACACAAACCCCTTTCTGCAGAACTGTTTTCAAATAAAAAATAAAATACCTCACTTTAATATATGAATTCCCAAATATTATCTCAACTGAACTTTATATTATCTCAACCAAATCACAGTATTTACAGTCTTCTTTTTTTTAAAGATAAGTAATGTTTTTATTTTTCTCTTATTTACTCACTGTACTTTAGGGAACAATCCGTTTTTCATGTGTAACTGGTAATGGAAGAGAGAGACAGATATGTCAATCTTGCACCTGGAAAGGAGGCAGAGCAAGGCCACCTCGAGGAGGACACTTTGCTGATGCCCACCATGGATTTGGTCCCTGTGGCCTGGCCATTGCTAGGAGCAGCTCCTTCACAGGTGGTGTTTCTGGTATCTGTAAGGTTATGGGTCCATATTTATGAAGAACCCATAGGCACTTATGGCCAGAGATATTTCAACTCGACTTTATCTGTTTTTATGAACTAAAGCTGATAAACTGTCTAGTTTCAAAACCTTTTCAGTGACAACCTCACCAAAAGGGAATGAGCAGAGACCTCTGTTTTTGTTTGTTTGCCAAATACAGCCCTGGATAGCAGAAAAATTACTAAATCACACACTCGACATTACTTAAATAAGTCAATCATATGAACATCAATCGAGAAATATGAAAGAACAGTAATGAGCCTCTATCCACGTATTGTCAAGTGTATTAAGAAAACTAGTCTAACTTAAATTACTCAAGTTCAATTTCTTATAACATAGATATTTTGCGAACAAACATTGCTTAAGCATTTTGAAGCTGGAACCTCGCATTTCTGGTGTGATATATATCACAATCCCCACATCCCCACCACTACTAACGACCCCATCATATGGCACAGATAGGCATAAATGTTCATGCCTACAGCAGCATAGCAGGTACTGGGGAGAGTTCATTCAAACTCCTAGACTCTCCTGGCTTCACAGCCATTATCTTTTTAAATTCTCACAATGACCCTATTAGTAGGTACTATCATGCAGATTTACGTATGGGAAACCTCAGGCTTGGTGAGGTCAGCCTGCCTGAGGTCATATGGCCAATAATGAGAAGCAGGGTTTAAAAGCAACTCTAACAGGTCCCAAAACATCTGCTTAAAGCACATCCTTGATCAACAGGCCTTATTCAAACTCTGCTGCTTGGGCTAAATCTTGGAAGGCTTCTCTAAATTTACTCCTCAAAGAGGTCCTCGCACCCATAATCTATCATTCTGCTGCTCTGCACAGAATTTGGCACTCAAGGAATACTTGCTAATTAAACAAAATGTCGGGCTGGAGGAACGGATCTGCTTTACTCTGCAGTTGCAGCCACATCGCTGACACCTTCCAGAGCCCCTCACTTGCCACCCAAGAGGCAAGAATCCTCTTAGCAGCCGCTCCCATCACCAGCTCTTCCCCAACCTAGGGCCAGCCCCCTCCCAATTTCTGGGAAACGCACAGCACCGTTACCACCCACTACGCTTGACTCCGTGGTCGTGGTCGCAGGTCACATTCTTTCTAGGCATTCACTAGAAGATGATGGTGTCAATAAACAGGGCATAACATTTCAAATCACAAGCATTTTTTAAGAAAAAAAATTAAAATTTTAGCAATTAGTCAACATATGAAGATTTAACAACTACTCTCATTTCAGGTCAACTATGCTTTAAATATTTACTATTATTAACTTTACAGTCATCAAATAATTACTCTGTCAGATTTCCTTTTTTGATAAAATACAGTTGAAAAGTCCTGTTTTCATAGTTGAGTGGGATCAAACTGGAATGTACTTTTCTATAGGTCTTGAAGCAGATACTATCACATACTCTACTCCATTACAATAAATCATGGTAATGTACAAATAGCATTATAACTGCTGTGATCACATGAAATCCTGTTAGAAACAAGTTTTCACAGTTTCTGTCCCTTACCAGCATGCAGGTAAGCGAGGTCCGGGTTTTCGATGTCAGGATGCTGTTCCTTCAAATGGTTCCGGAACTCCACCGGGACGTTGGTCCCGTAGTCACACTTGGGACAGTTGTACATCTTGACTCCTTCATGTTTGCCAGTATGCAGAATGTGTTTGCGGATATTTTCAGCACAGTTTGACCTACCAAGTAAGACAGAAAAGTAAATCTAATTAAGGTCAAACCAATAACCTTATCTTACAAATAATGATATTACATAACACTGTCTGTATGTGTTTGGTACTATTTTAAGTGCTGTACTCATATAATAATTAGCTTATATAATACATCAGCCTTATGAGGCTGGTAGTTTTTATAACCCTGGTATGAATTTTTAAGTTGGTCTTTTAGCTTCATTTCTATGAAGAACCAGAAATACCAAATCCCAAGCACTATTATTTTAATATCAAATTATTCTGGTACCACTCGAGGGCAGTGAAGGTGTTAGCTGATCCCTGAGAACACACCTATTACCACTGAGGAGTGGTACAAAAATGAAAGTGCTGTCGCCTCCACTGAATTTAGAGCATCTGGGGAACAAAGACACTTTGGCTTTTAAGTTCTGTCACGCAAGGTGCTTCTAAGTGGGCTCTAAAATAATGTGAAGATGGAATTGTAGCTAGAAACGGCTCCCAGGCTCAACTCCAGTATTTGGGCAACATGTGAATCCCGTGGCGTTTTCTGTGATGATACAGGCTTTTAAGAGTGATAAGAGTGATGGCATGGAAAATGCAACGGAGGGCCCATATATTCCACGCCACGGTGCCACTGAAATCAGGGGTGGGCTCCTCTCCCAGTGCTTTCCCGCAGAATTAGAAATGCAAGCCCTGAAATAATCAGCAAGCTGGGAATGGGGTGCTGTTTTTGAGGCAAACTGTTCTGCTTGCTCTTTCATCCCTGTCAGATCCTTTGCAACACAGACTGCAAGTCTAGACTCTTTCTGAATACACACGCGGAGCTGTTTTCCTTTTGTCTTTGTCATTTTTAGAACAGTAATAAAAAGAGCCCTATACAATTTCAAGTAGGTGTTGAGGGGTTATCTAGAAAGAAACAAACAAACCATGCTGGCCTCAGACTTCCTACAGACCAAAATTAAATGCCAGAAGAAAATAGAGCAATATGTTTATCACCATTTCCCAAAGGTATTGTGGAATAACAAAAATCCTGCAAGATGTTCTTAGAAGAAAGATTCCCATGAACAAAAAAGATCAGGAAACGGTAGTCAGCCAACACATCTCACAGTGCACTGCAGAATCTTGAAGGCTCTAAGAAGAACTTTATGTAGGTCTACAGTGCCTGAACGTTTCTAATTAGAATTGCTTTTGAGTATAATATTCAATTATACCATGTGTATTTTTTAGGGAATATACCTTGGGAAATATTGGTCAAGGAAGTGAAAATAACTGTTATCTCTCACACACAAAGGCAGTCAATGACGCTAGAAATTCAAAGACTCAGTGAATACGGTATCTATCCACTCCTGACGAGAGGAGTATAGGAAGTATCGTCCAAGCGAGGCAGAATTAATGTAAATGGCACTAGGAAAGGTATTCCCCAGACAGAGGGTGCAGGGATGTCCTTTCCTACAGACTCTGGTCAAAGCTGAAACGCAAACGTGTTCCTCATGAGTGGGGATCTCATATTCTGGAAGAGTTCTCGTACCTGCATCCAGACAGTCCTTTGGAAAAGTTCCTGCTACTTCCCTCCCATCTCCAGGCAGGGCTTGTCATCAAATGCACATGTACAACTAAATCTGCTCAGTATAATTAAACTGAACAAATCAAATCCCTCTATGCCTAGGAAAAAGACTAGAAAGAAATACATTAAAATATTAATGCAGCTATACTGCAATGCCCACTTACTCTTATTTTTCAAATATAAAGTTTTATATGTTAAATATATATATTTTAAAAATTAAAATAACAATAACACCTTTTTAAAAAATAAAAAAGGACTAGAACAACAGATATTTTCCCAGCTATTTTCAACTTGCTTTGGGCAAAGGCTCTGTCAATCTGGGTGTTACATTTCCCTGAGATCTTAGACTAAATACATGCAAGACAGTGAATGTATGCACACAAGCTTCTTTCTCTCATGAGTCACTACCGAATTGTCAAACTTGCTTTATATATAAATTCCCTATTGTGAACTAACAATCACTGTAAGAGGAAATAAAAGAGTAAGCACCTAATGTATGCCAGGTACCTCCACTGACTTGGCGACTTCGAAGGCAAGCATGACCCTCTGAGGTCAAGACTGCTACACAATTCACAGAGAAGAAGGTAAATATCACAATGATGAGCTGGCTACACAGGCTGTATGGCTGGTGAGTGGTTAAGGCAGAATCCTAACCTAGGTTTTCTGTTTTCAAGGCCAGAATGTTGGTATGTTTTCAAGTACACCACAGCCAGCTTTCCCTTTAAAATTTACGTATCAGAGACACTAGCACATTCTAAGCAAAGGATAGGACTGTAGAGTCTCTTAAATGTGTAATTATCCTTAGAGTAACAGCTCTGGGTCATGTCTGAAATAACACAGGAAAACATCTGAAGGTGACTGACACAAATGTCCACTTTTATGACAGTTAAAAGGAAAAGGAACAATTTTTTTTTGAATTCTTCAAGCTGGGTAAACCGTTCCAAATTACCCCCTTAATTCTGCAGATCTCCAACATGTTTTCTACAGCATTACAGACACCTCCTAAATTCACCATTGTTTACTGACACTGGGGAGAGAAAACAAAAAGCTACTACTGTACTTAATTAGTACTGTTTATCAGGAATGGAGATTCTTTGGTACCACCAATATTATTTCCTTATGTAAAATGCTAGGCATGAAACATCATCAAAGACAATCACCAATCATATGAAGAAATTAAAATTGCCAAAATAAATACATTTCAATGTATGATGCATATTTAAATGGAGAATAATATAAGCAATGAATCCTAACATTCAGGGAAGGGAAGAAAGAGATAACTTGGAAAACAGATTATTTTGTTTTCAAGAAGGCTGTATCTAGGACAAAAATAAGCCAGTATCTCTCAGTAACTAAACAGCATGTAGGATCTAACAACCGGGGACTATTACTGAAATAGGTAAGACGTATATGGGGACAAAGGGAGGGGAGAGAATTTAAAAAGGTAGGAAGCTTCTTTTATTTGAAAATATAAAATAAATCAAGAAAGACGTGGTGTGGAACTTGAGATTTTAAAAGGCATTAAGGACTATTCCACACATATATTCTTATACAGATATGTGCATATGTTTGTATACAGGATGTATATATACACACCGTGTTTTTATGTTCTATTATATTATACATATGTGTATGTATATTTGTAATTTTATGTTTTAAACATATACATACCAGAAGCATAAACACATGCAGACAAGAAGGAACTGGGAAGCGTTTGGGGAAATGAGAGTGAGTGTTAATGTGTATGGAGTCTCTTTGGGTAATAAAAATCTAAGACTGCTTGTAGTAATGGTTTCACAATTCTGGTAATATATTAAAAACCCAGGAAGGTTGCAATTTCAATGGGTTACTTGTCAAATATATGATCTATCTCTCCACTAAAACAAAAACAAACAAAAAAGAACTCTCGTGCCGTTGTCACCCTTCTTCCTGCCACTGGAACCTCAGAGGCCACATGTGCAGGTGGTAAAGTTACCAAGAAGAAGAAGAGGTTCTCAGCCTCCATGGGCCTTTACCTCAGTAAGCAATAAATTTTTAAGTCATTCAAATTTCAGAGTTTTGCCTGATGTGCAGCTACTGCTAATTATCACATGCTGCTAATCTCCTTCCTCAAACCAATGCTGCATACAACCTCACCATACCAGCACACACATGCACACACACACACACACACACACTCCCGATTCGAACCAATGCTGCATACAATCTCACCATACCAGCACACACATGCACACACACACATACACACACACACTCCCGATTCGAACGAATGCTGCATACAACCTCACCATACCAGCACACACATGCACACACACACACACACACACACTCCCGATTCGAACCAATGCTGCATACAACCTCACCATACCAGCACACACATGCATGCACACACACACACACACACACTCCCGATTCGAACCAATGCTGCACACAACCTCACCATACCAGCACACACATGCACGCACACACACACACACTCCCAATTCGAACCAATGCTGCACACAACCTCACCATACCAGCACACACATGCACACACACACACACACTCCCGATTCGAACCAATACTGCACACAACCTCACCATACCAGCACACACATGCACGCACACACACACACACTCCCGATTCGAACCAATGCTGCACACAACCTCACCATACCAGCACACACATGCACACACACACACACTCCCGATTCGAACCAATGCTTCACACAACTTCACCATACCAGCACACACATGTACACACACACATACACACACACACTCCCGATTCGAACCAATGCTGCATACAACCTCACCATACCAGCACACACATGCATGCACACACACACACACACACACTCCCGATTCGAACCAATGCTGCACACAACCTCACCATACCAGCACACACATGCACGCACACACACACACACTCCCAATTCGAACCAATGCTGCACACAACCTCTCCATACCAGCACACACATGCACACACACACACACACACTCCCGATTCGAACCAATACTGCACACAACCTCACCATACCAGCACACACATGCACGCACACACACACACACTCCCGATTCGAACCAATGCTGCACACAACCTCACCATACCAGCACACACATGCACACACCCACACACTCCCGATTCGAACCAATGCTTCACACAACTTCACCATACCAGCACACACATGTACACACACACATACACACACACACTCCCGATTCGAACCAATGCTGCATACAACCTCACCATACCAGCACACACACACACACACACACACACACTCCCGATTCGAACCAATGCTGCATACAACCTCACCATACCAGCACACACATGCACGCACACACACACACACTCCCGATTCGAACCAATGCTGCACACAACCTCACCATACCAGCACACACATGCATGCACACACACACACTCCCGATTCGAACCAATGCTGCACACAACCTCACCATACCAGCACACACATGCATGAACACACACACACACACACACTCCCGATTCGAACCAATGCTGCACACAACCTCACCATACCAGTACACACATGCACACACACACACACACACACTCCTGATTCGAACCAATGCTGCATACAACCTCACCATACCAGCACACACATGCACACACACACACACACACACACACACACACTCCCGATTCGAACACTCTTTACTAATCACTGCACAGCAGATACCTTGGGTGAAAAAGACGTAAACTAAGGATACTAGGCCCATTCCTGAGCTGGTGTGACTCCTCCTGGCCTCGCACTGCTCCTCTGGAAATATCCCTAGACCTTATTTTATCTCTGAATTTCCCTCTTCTGCCACCTGGGACCTCCTATTACAAGCCAAGAAGCTTATATCTGTCACCATCTATATGTATCTTGGTGTTTCCCTATGAAAGAGTTAATAAATTTTTCTTTTAAGAAAATTTATGAGAAGTCCAATTTCTCAGAAAAATGCAAAGGGTTACATGTATACTTTAACAAGAAGAATGCTAGGAAGAACTCATGTCACAGTTTTTCCATCTGTAATGAACTAGGAAGAAAGAGACACTGGTGCACATCTCTGAATGAAGGAGAAAGTGAAACATGCAATGACTGAGCAGTTTCCCTGGGGATTCACTAAGAACTGTCACCTTCAATCCAGTTTCCTAACCAACACTAGGATCAGTCCTATCCCCACCCTCTTCCTCTTATTCCTGGCAGCAGACGACCATGGTGCAGAGGAAACACCCCTGGGTGTCAACTCAGGCAGCCGGGTCCATTCCCCACATGAGGATTTCAGCACCTGCAGAATGTTTCTGTGATCTCAGGAAAGTACCTCAACTCTGAGATCTCTTTTCCTTAACTAAAAAATGAGGTTAGTACAGCAAACTACCAAAGGACTGAATGTAATCTATGCATTATCTTTTTCTTTAGAGAAGGTAAGCGCACATAAACACAAAATCTTCACCTGGGAAGTCAGAGAGTTGGTAAAAGCTATTCCTGGGCTCCAGGTTGTGGCTCCCAGTTCTAAAGGTAGGTAGGAAGTGACGGAGGGGAAAGGTGAGCAACACACACTGCATGGCTCCGGCACACAGCGCAAAGTCAGCGTCAACACAGAGAAAAGCTACCGAATCCGCAGCTCTCAGCAAAATACTAAGCTCTGCCCTGTCCTTTCTCAACTCCGCTCTACTGCTACAGCTCCACGTGACAGAACGTGTCACCAGGCTTTCCGCTGAGGAAGAACCTCTCCTGGCCCTCACAGGTGAAAGACGTTCCTCACGACGAGCAGGAAGCCTGCTGGAAGGGAAGTGAGATTCCCCAGCGCCAAGCTTCACACTCCTCACCAGGATTCCTGCAGGGCTCAGCAGAATAGAAACAGCACGCATCGCTTTCATGGAAAAGGCATTCTAAGAGTGCACTTCAAATCAAATTTTGGAATATAACATGTTGAAAGTCTTGAGCAGCTTTGACGTACAGAATTTAAAGCACGGGGTGACTGATTAGCAAAAGGGCCCAAGATGGGACCCATGCCTTATAGGGCTTCTTAAAAAACACATAATAAAAGAAATTTCTTATTCTGTTCAAAGGCGATGTATGTTAAAATAATAAACAGAACACCACAAGTACTTCTAGAACTCCACAAAATCATTAGTCAGTACTACACACTCACTTATGACCTATGGACACAAAAAGCCTGTTTATGTTATTGAACCTAAGGAGAAAGGAGTTGTAAAAAATTTGATGTTTATTTTGGTTGTTAAAATTATACCACCGAAGTTGTTAAACATCAGAGCATCCAATAATGGATATGACAGAAGTCTCCCTCCAGCACTGTCTCCACTGTACCCTGTGTCCCAGATGACCAGCTAGGTACAATCCCTAACTTCTTCTCAATCTTTCGGGAGAAGTAAACACTACTTTTTCAAGCTACAGATATGTCTTATATTCTTTTCTCACCACTCCCCTTGGCTAAATGCAGGGGCACCACACACACTGGCATCTCGCTTTTCCATGGAACAGCACAGCATGGGGCCTCGCCGTATCGAACACCGAAGGGCACGCTTATCTCCCCTACATGTCTCTACTCCCACCCTTACCTTCTTTTCTCCTTTTTAACAGCTTCATAGTATTTCAGTGTGGACACAACCTATTCTATCTAACTGATTCTTCACTGATGGGCATTTAGGATGTTTCCAATCATTTGCTAGTATAAACAAGGTTCCAGTGAATAATCCTGTAGAATGCTTTCCATTTCTCCAGGTGCCATGACAATCGCATCATGACAACTGGAATTGCTTCAAATGTCAATGGGCATGAATTCTGATAAATTCTGCCATACTGCCCTTCAGAGGAATTGTAGCAATTTACAATTCCACTAACAATGTTTCAGAGCCTGAGCCTGTTTCTGTACACGCTTGTCAAGGTAGGGGGCTACCAAATTTTTGAATTGTTGCCCATGTGGTGGGTAAACAATGGTATCTCATTGGAGTTTTAATTTTTAAGGTGTAACTTGCATTTCTCTTGTAATCAAAGAGGTTATCTTTCCAAATACTGAAAAGCAATGTATATTTTCTTTGTTATGTACTGCTCATTCAGATTTTTGCTCTTTTTTTCTAAATGATTGTTGGTCATTCTCTTATAAATTAAGGAGACTGGCTCTTTAGGACAGAAGTTGCAGACTTGTTTTCTTCAGTTTCATTTTTTTTCTTTTGACTTTGCTTATGGTAGGTTGTGAAAGCAAATGTTGATAATTTTGCTCTGTTGTTCTATGGCTTCCTTATTTGGAGACTATAAAACAACTGTTCCAAATTTGGTTCTAGTACCTGTAGAGTTGCGTTATATCACATTAAATACTAGATTTGATTCAAAATCAACCTACAGTAAGTTAAATGTGGATCCAGACTGCTACTCAGCTCTCTCAATAACATTTGTTAAAGTCAGATTTTCCCCACTGACTTGAGATGCCACCTTTGTCAGTATTTTAATTATGTAAGGTGAATTCTGGACTTTCTATTCTATTATACTTGTCTGTGTATTCACCTGCCACTCCATCACAATGAACCAGGTAGCAGGACGTTTCTGCCTGGTAGACCTCATCATTCTGCATGGCTCTTTTTCTCCCAGATCACAACTGCCCACCCAGAACCAACACAAAATCACTCACGGGACAGTGGTTGTCAGCTGGTATGGCAAAAATCTAGAGTTAACTACAGTACTAGAGAGAACCGGGCCAATAATAAATTAATATCACTATGACATACCCAGGTAATTTCTATGTATTTATTAATATGTGTTAATAATATTATCTAACTGATAAACCAAACAGCAGAGAGCTTGGCACAGATGTTATAGGATAAGTACCCAGGAGAGTGCCCAGCACACAGAGATTCTAAACAAACACTGATTCCCATTTTCCCCAGGAAGATCCATGCATCGGCCTCACTACCCCAATTTGCTTTTTTGTAAAATTAGTGGCTGTCTTGAAATACTGGCAACAATCAGGTCTGTTATGATGTCAGGCATGGGAAAGAGACTCTAGACAACAGAAAGCTCCTACAACCCACCGCCCAAAGAGCATTCTCATTCCCGCAACCCACTTTCCATTTTGCTTATCTCCCCACTTCACTACTCTATGTTTTCCATGCTGCTCCAAAAAGAAAGAATTCCTATTTCCTAGGTGATTTTGGGGGAACCACTTGACAGCATGGAGTGATCGCTCACTATTTTAGAATGCGTATTTTTGTGTGTGCCATGGATGGCTTCAGAAATGACTTAGTAAATCTTACAAAGATTCATTGAAAATAATAGTAGTAGTTTAGCTGAAGGGGGAGGCTAAAAGAACCGAAAATTGAATTGAGTGCGGTGGCCAATTGTTTCTTTTGTGGATGTGTGCACTCAAACCCCCTTATGTAATATACAAAAAACACTTCTTTTAAAAAAACAACAACACAAAACAGTTGAATTATGACACATGTATAAAAATCAATAAAAAATAAGGGAGAGTTTGCTAAACAGAGACTTACACCACATATCTGTATGGGTTGGCTTAATGTTAAATATATCAATTGCTGCTAAAGGAATCTATACAGTTAACACAATTACAATTCTAACAAGATTTTTTTGAGAACTCTTTGAGAGTGATGGTTAAATGGCTCTATAAAATAAGTAGGCAACATGTTAACATTATTACAGTAAGAGTTGTTAACAATCATCTATAGGGAGGGAATGGGCTATATCACAGAATGTGATGCAGCAGTAACTTTCTAAATGTACTTATCTTTACAAATGCACATATAGAAACATACATATGACATATTGGCAGAGAAAGATGTCTGCCGCAGATTGAGAAAAGCTACATGTAAAACAGTATGTACTAAAAACAATTAGAGGTATGTGTACATATACACATTCATAATACACACCACGAAAGTCACTTATATATAGATGTGTGTGTAAAGTAATTATACATACATGTAACACACACATATTACAATTCTACACAGGAGTATGGACAGCACCAGGTCTATGAGGATCACACTAGGTAACAGGGATTCTGCCCAGGGGGACGGGAGGTGGGAAAGGGATACGGGAAGGAGTCAGAGAACACCTGCAGTGTTGCGGCTGTGTCACAGGAAAGCCCACCCGTTCATTAAGTTTAATTTAAAAGTGGGGGAAAAAGAGACTAAACAGACAGCCAAAGACAAGAAAGACAAATGCAAGTGAAGCACTGCATTTTTGAAAATTATTATACTTAATGAAACTCTAATCATTAAAAATGTGGGAAACTGAGGGTGGTATTAAGAATGAAAGTGGCGATTAATTTCGTGGGCTAAAATATGGTTTAGGTAATGCAAGGCACTACATAGCGGGTTAAATTCTTCCGTGATAAGTTAAAGAGGCTTCACAATAAATTCTGGATAGATTACACATAACTGCTTTAAAAAGAATTATGAAACTAAAAAAAGACTTAAGTGAATGTTAAGTCATATATACTTAAATAGAGTATGAACCTAAAAATATGACTTTCAATATAAAATTAACCTTAATTTTTCTAAAAGGGTCAAAAAATGAGGGTGGGGTGGGGAGCTGGAGGGAGAGTCCACCTGAATCTATAAAATATAAGCAAGCAACCACATATATAGTATATATGTTTTGTTGATTTGAATATATACATATTTAAGTTAACCTATTATTTTAAAATAACGTATTACTTTGGAACTACTGCTTTTACAACTCATGTTTATAAACTATTCAAACTCTTCATATGCGTAAGTGTCTATCACTACAGTCATTTCTGTGATCTCCTAACAGTTTTCTAGAGTACAATATTGTCAGTCCCTCCTTCAGTTTGAGATACAGCATATTTTGACTCCAAAAATGATGTTGTCACTAGAGATTCTGTCTCCAGCTACATGTGCCCAATCATGTAACACTACGGCAGTTGTTTCCATTTGTTCTCCAAGAGTAAGTCATGAACTCCACATTATAACCAATCACTCTACTGCTTTTTACTCCAATTTTTCTAGTTTATTTACAACAAGAGAAATACATAAATTCCTCTTCTGGAAATACTTTTTTAGAAAGGAAAAACTCTGCCATTTATTCAAACATACACTACTAAGTATAATAAAAGCTGAAATCATAAAGTCAAACATAGATAGACTTGACTACACGAATACTATAAAATACTGCAAGTCAAAAGATCATAAATACAACAAAAATGAACAGAAAATCCATGAAATTTGTATAAAGGTTTATAAAACCCTTCTCCAAAAAATATTATTTCTGAAGATGCTAAAAGATGTTAAGAAAAACCGTAAGTACAAGTGTGAGGAGATCCGTGTTCAGGAAAGTAGGGGCAATACAGCAGACTGCATTTTCCTCTTAGAAACTCACAATGTGTACTTAAGCAGAAAATGAAAATTACAAAAAAAACCACAATCTAAATTGAAATAAAAATTTTGAAAGTTCTATTTAAAGAAATACGCTTAGTTTTGCTTAACATTTTGCTTCTCAAATTTTTTGACTACAGAACATTTTCTTTTTCAGTTGCTCTATGGTAGAACAACATGTACCTCAGAATGCCATCATGAGGATTAAGGTAAATAACATTAAGTATGTTCAGGTAATACGGTAGGTACTTGTTCTTTTTTTCTTCCTACCACTAGTTTTTATATTAAACACAAATGAGTTCAACTATGTGAGTCATTATCGGCGCTTTTCCTATTATACATGAAAAGCAACAGCAATTCATCTGACTAAAAATAGATTCCCAAACAGTTACAGTATATGTATGAGCACATGTGAGGTGTGTATCATGTGTGCAAAGTTAATTAGGCAGGTATGCAATTTCTTTTTTTTTTGGCCTGTTTATAGTATACTTTAAAAACTCACATCCACAAAAAGAATTACTCTATACAATATTATACGTTTATATAAAACTTTGGTTGAAAGGGGGTTTCTACTGTATCTTTGTAATATGATTCCAAAATGCATATAGAATAATCCGAAGAAAATCTTTATGTAAATTAAACTCAAGAAGTTAATTACATTTATTTACCAGGATTAATTATGATTTATAAATTTTCTGGGCAAAAATAAATCCTAAAAAAAAGACAAAAAATGTTCAAAGTAGAGGGGAATATAAGCCTCCATATATGTTGCTTTAAAGCTCACTGTAGGTTGGAAGAATGTGCTCCAATATATAAACTCGGAGCTTGTTTCACAATTTATGTAAGACAGCTTAAGATATATACTCCTTTATAACTTATGTTCTCACTAAAGGACCCATAAGGAAAGAGTCTGATAATTTTAGATTACTGAACATTTGTGCTGTTTAAATTTAAAATCGGTTAAAAGCTACAAGAATAAAGAACCTCAAATTCCTCTGCCTAAAAGGGAACATGTTATCAACGATGTTTAGCAAATAGATGCATGTCATTTGGAGTGCTGGACCACATGCACCACTAGAACAGAACAGACAGCACAAAGATCCATGTATATAAGAAACACAGATGTCATTTCATCAATTAGGAAATGATGGGCTATATAATAAATGGTGTCCATTCAACTGCTTATTTTATAGGAAAAAATAAGTGACTTATTGTCCTACACCATACAAAAATAAATACCATTTGGATTAAAAAATTTTAACATAAGGAAACCAAATTACAAAAATGATAGAAAAAATATTTTTATAATCTTAGTTAGAAAGAGTTCCCATAAAGAAAAAGCAACGTCCAAATGCTACCAAAATGTGTAGGAAAATATGCCTCATGAAAGTTAATACTGCTATATAGCATAATGCATCATAAATAAAGTTAAAAGGTAGGGCAAAGAAAAGGAGTAAAACTATGCAACATATACAAAAACTGGTGATTAATACGGATTCCAAAATGGGTTCCATTGATTAATTTTTTTAAAAGATAAAAATCTCAGAAACTAAAAAATATGAATAAGCAATTCATAATTGGAGAAATACAGATAGTTATGTAATCATTACACAGTGATCAAGGTCTCTAAAAACTAAGTAAATGCGAATTAAAACTTAAGGTGACAGATTGGCAAAATTTAATAAGTTTGATCATATTAAGTAATGGTAAGGGAAAATGATATACCTCTGGTAATGGTGTAAGTTAGCAAAAGCTTTTGAAAAACATTTGATAGTATCCTTCAAGTTTAAAATATACACACACCCTTGAAAGTTCAGAAGCTCAATTTCTAGATGATCCACAAGTCATTAAATCAATTTTAGAACAGCTAAACACTAGGCAAAATTTGAAAACTAAATGTCCATGAAGAGAGAAACGGGTTGTAAATGTACAGTGCATCCATACTAGGGAATTCTATACCATTGAGAGCTAAGAGTTAGCTTCTCCTACAGAGTTCCATGGAAATCAACCACATCCCGGCTGAATGGTGGGAGAGCACAGCCTGATCAGGGGAAAGAGAAGCCATTTCCCCGACCATGTACGGTTACTGATGTTAGAACAAGGCCAGAGATCTGGTAGGCCAGGTCACAGGACCACTCAACCTCACCTGCCAACACACCCTCAGAGGCATGGAGGAGCTGGATCTTCTCCAGTTGTGAAGCTTAAAAGTCCCACAGCGTAAGAGCCAGACACTTCCCCAGAGTCTGATGTCCAGCACCACAAAATCCTTGCGTGTTGCTCCAGAATGCGGCAGGTTATTGAGATAAACTGAGGAGAGGAGCGACAGCTGCTGCACTCCCTCTGTGAGTTTCTCTCAGTAAACCCTGTGGAAGAAAGCTTGGTGTGTGTACTATCTGGGCATTCAACCTTACTTGTTGTATAAAAGCCATTAAATAGAATAAGGTAGCTCTTATGAACATGGAAAGACTAATAGGATACATTATTAAGTTAAAAAAATCAAGTCCCAGATACATGTAGGTATGGGTCCTTTCAGCTTTTCAAAAATATACACATACGGTATGTGTGTGCATATACACATATATGTATACATAAGATTTATACATATACACATAAAGTATGTGTGCACACATATGCATATACACATACAGTGTGTGTGCACACACATATACATCTATGGCACTTATAAAATATATACGTATACACATACAGTATGTGTGCACATATACACATACACACATAAAATACTCACATATACACAGTGTGTGCATGCACATACAGACATACAAGCACATATAAAATATATACACATATAAAATATATACACAGAGTATCTGTGCACATATATACACCCACAGATATATGAAATATATGCACATACATATACAGATAAAATGTATACATGGAAAATACATACATTTATACATATAGAGATGTAAATGTATTAAATGTGTATTCAAAGGAAGCCTAGTAAACTACTGATGATATTTTTATTGAAGGATTTCCAAGTCCAAGGAAACTTTTGTTTTGCTCAGTGTATTTGGATCATTTTGGCTATTCATAAAAATATCTTTAAGTGTTCTACATATAAAGCAAATATGACCAAACATCTATTTGAAAAACACCCAGATTGTACAGCATTGCCAGGAATGTAAACCTGACAAACCACAGCAGAGCAGCACAGCTGACAGTTGGGGCAGAGGTGGATGTGCTTACGTGCCTGGATCCTCGTGTTTACACAGGGAGGAGTCAATCTGATGAATTTAGCAAAAGGTTTAAATGAGGAAACTCAAGCTGTAATCTCTAGGAAACCAGAAGGAATACTATAATCAAAACAGGGAAGAGAGGAGAGGGTGTGGTGGAGAATGGAGCTAACTTCTTTATTCTTTACAAACACCAGATGCAGCCTATACACCAAGAAGCTGTCTTCAGGACACCTCCAGGACAAAAACCAGGAATGCCTACAAGGGGTACTGCAGGAAAACGGGAAGAGAGAAGTGCTGGGAATGCAGGTATGGTGGCAAGACTCTGACTCCAAATAGTAATAATAACGTACAAAACTGGTAAATGTCAGGAGAATTTAAGTAAACTAGATATTTAAAAATAATGGCACCATATTACACTATTACACTACATACAGAATTACCCAAAGTCTCTTTTTTTATTCAGATAAAAAGAGTTTACAGCAATCTGAGGTAATCACAAAATACAATCCTTTGGACATTTTCAGCAAGAGGAAATTTTAGTTGGAGAGTTTCTGGATCACCTTGCTCTAAATCTTATGAATTTTATTTTCCTTTATTATAACTGGTAGCTATTTATTGAATGGGATAATTTCCATTAGATCATTTACTCATTACTTTTTGCTTTTCATAAATCTAAATTCTTTGAAACTAGTTCTTAGGACAAATTGATGCACATTGAATTTTTCTCTCCATTTCTCAGTTATATTTCTGTTCATGTTTATTATGCGATAAAAAGTGATTCTAAAACAGCACAGTGCCTCATAAGAGAAAGAAACTTGTAAGTTAGCACAGAAGTGGATGAACACTGACGCATTCTTGGTCTCATCCACCACCCTTGAGAGGATAAACTCCCATGCTTCCAAGTCACGCGGCTGTCCAGGTGTCCACATGCGCTCTCTGCGCGAGCAGCCAACCGGCTCTCGTGTGCCTCTGAGACGCTCCTGAACAGCAGGCGCTGCGCTGGCCTCTCTGTCACCCGCAGGAAACCTGTGCACATCTAGCTGCTTTTCTAAACGTCTGGGAGCAAGGCCAGCCTTTCAGACCCAATCATAGGCACTTCAGAAGACAAATAATTTAAACCTGATTACTGCTTCGGTTTATATGGAAAGTATATAGGTTACAAGAGAAGTCTACCTTCCTATGTGTTGACTTTTTACTTTCAAAATGAATTTTTTAAACATATTTAGTAGGTACTACATAAAAACAAGCCTAAAAACAAATCACTGTGGTCATGCCCTCAACGAGGATATGATTTTACAAGACAAAAGAGTTGTGTATGTTAAGAGCAGTAACAAAAAGCTGTGCTGTACTGCATAAAAGAAAACGTGAACATTTAGAAAAGGTTGAAAACCCACCGTGTCCACTTAGAGGACTGCTGCGTCTGCCCTTCAGTGACTCTTCAACTGCTAATGGCCTGAAATTGTCTTGCTTTCCACATTATTCCAAATGCTTTTCTAACTTCCACTGATTTCAAATTATGTTAACAGTAAACTTACATATTGATATGCCACTGCTTCAGATATATTTATCATATGAGATTTTCACCCAGAGTTACACTTGCTCCTTCTGTTTCAGGACTGTGAATAACTCCCCATGCTTTGTTCACCTTTCATGTTTCCCACATTCCTGTCCACTTAAATCTCCAATCATACTATCTACAACCAATAAGAAGCGGCACCGACTTTAACATCTTCCTTTCTACCCTCCACTCCATAGAAAAATAATGAACATCACAAGGAAGAAATGGTAGGAAGTGACACTGAACTTTTTCATTCAGAAACCCAAATGAGTTCTTCAGAATTTAGCATTTCAGGAAGAGTCCCACTGACTTTGAGTTTGTGCAGTGATTCAAACACAAGGCTAAGCTGGACTGTCACCCACATCACAGGAAGGAGGGCAGGGCTTCCAGCAAGGGCAAGCCCTGGAGAACCTGGATTTCTCCCTGATTCTTTTTCTTTAGCCCCAAAGAGAAAAAATAATACATTTCCTTAACTGTTTCATATCATCATATACTGATACATTGCTGGTATAAAGAAGGAGAAGAGAAAGTGCGTGAGAAACACAGAGCAACTGGAAGATTTTCCTCTGATATCCTCACCACGCTAAATGCTCATAGAAGTAAAATAAAACTTAGTAAGTTTACTCAATTATTATATGCCTTACAATGGGAGCAGATGAAGAACGAACATGCTAAAGTCTCTGAGCTAAAAACATGCAGCAGACTTTAGTGGTTGCCTCCCCTTCAATGAAATAGAAATAATCCAGCAGGATACTCCTAGGGCTTTGGGGAAAGGGCCTTCATGGCCACAGAAGTCTGGCATATATCAGTACACAAAACTAGAGGTGTGTCCTGACTAAAGGGATTCTCCGAGTCTTTAATATGCTGATGACTGTGAGTGTGAAGGGACTGGATAGGGGATACAATATGGAGAGTATCTCCCAAACATATGTGACTACCAAAACATTTTTTCAAAGTTGATATTCTGAGCATCAAGCAGTATTTTCAATCTATTCAATATTGCTTGATGCTCAGAATCTGAAAATAAAAATGCAGAATTAGCCTTACATATTGAATCACTTCCTTTCACTAATCTCCTGCCTGGATGGCAGAGTAGAAATTCTTCTCATTTTTATCTTGCCACTCTGAAATAAATATAGACCCCCGAACTCTTCATCGCTACATATTTATTCCCTCATAGGAAAAGTTTTATTCTTTCCACTTCTGTTAACTCACTAGGTGTAGCAAAGTGAGATGCTGCAAAACCAGAAAAGGCAGATGGATGAAAAACTTCTGAGGAAAAAAAAGATCTTTAAGGAAATACAACAGAAAAATGGGAGCCTAACCAACCTCCAAAAATCCAAGCCATCATTTTTTTAGAGTGGTTAGGTACAGTAAAAATGGTAGACAGAAATATATTCCCAAAAAGGACATGAACTCTATAAAATAATACATACAACTTTGGCTTGAAATACGTTGTCTAGAAAAAAATATTACTTGACAAATCAAGCAATTTAAGTATTTACATATATATGTGTGCATATATGAATAATTTACCGTATTTTTCTAGTTGAAAGCTTTTCAAATTTAAGGTGATGTACGTAACATTTTTACTGAAGCAGCATCATGTTTCACAATATTTCTGAGAGTTCAAGCCGGAAGCTGGCTTCACTTGGGACAATCTAATAATGTCTAAGGGAAAAAGACTAGATTTAAAACAACAACTTTTGGCATTCATGTATAGGAGCACAGTTTAGTGGGCAGTCTGGCAGGCCTGGTCACATAAGTCACCACAAGCTCTTAGACTCACCTAGGGTATTAGAGGTGGGGCAAGGGCAGCCATAAAATTTAAACACTATGTAAGTGTCTGAAAGATTCCATCCTCCACACCTGGCATACTGCAGGCACTGGTGGGTGATCCATCCCATGGAGAGGTAGAGGGGGAAGGTGCAACATATGATAAGAGAGTTCATTTTTTGGGAGCTCTTGTCAGTCCAATATTTATACTACGTTGCCATAGGCAAGAGTGAACTTACTTATCTTTGAAAAGTCTTTCAAAAAAATGTTTTCTAGCTTTAACTCTATGCTGTACAGAGCTCCCTAAGTCTACAGTTGCTGAGTATTAATCGAAAAATGCATACTTTATTAATTTTATTAAGTCGTGCAAAGAGAATGTAAACCTTTTATAATTCCAAAGTTCTGTGATCACCTTTGAAGAAAAAGTAATAGAGAAGAGTCACTGACGATGAGGGACCACTGAATTTATGTAATAATCTATGTCCATTTTTACAAAAATGCTCCATGTAACCCATTTAAAAATAATAACTGGTTCATTTCAGTCCCTGCACACAATGCTTCCCTTTGTCCCTTGTAAGTCTCTCAAACGTCTTATTTTAAAGGAATATATAGTACTCCCGGAAGACATTTTCCCATTTCTATTCTCTTCGACTCCTGCGAGCCCTTGTTCTGTGTGATAAGGCAATCTCCTCCGGGATCTGAGCTGTGTAGTTTCGCACCACGAGTGACAAGGACTCGACTTGAATAACTGCTGTGCGCAGGTTGTAATTATGTCAGCTGGAGTGTTGAACAAGGGGACTGATTAATGTGAGCCCCGGCCCAGGCACGGTCCCTATCAAAACCTCCACGCAGGCCAGCAGTGGGGACGGGTTAAAGCAAAAAGACAAAACATGCTGTATCGTCCATGATAGATGAATTGCTCCAACAGTCTTCAGGCAGATGTTCCAGGACAGTATAATATACAATTACTCTGCCTTATCACCTTCCCAGGGACAATAAAGCTTCCTCCTTCTATGGCTCATGTGAGTGAAGGCAAAATTAGTTTTACTTTTACAACACGGACTCACTTATCATGTCGCTTTGATTGTGCTTTTACAGCTAAGGAAAACACATATTCCACTTTTAAACTAAAAAAAAAAAAACCTTAAAAATAAAACTGAAACCTTGTGTTGACTCTTTTTTACAGAACAACATACAGTGTTTTAAAAGATTGTTTTGTTAAAAAGAGATGCAAGGAAGGTAATAATATATGTGTGCATGTGTAGTTAAAGCAAGTGCATACACACAGCTCAGGAAGAGCTGGATTGCATAATCATTGCATTAATAACATCATTGTTCAAAGGCCACACACAAGTCATGAATTGGAAGGAAGCAATTAAAAATATATATATGCTGATATTGTCCATATATTTCTTAGGCATGGCACACGGGCCCTTGGGCCTGGGAGGATGGTTCCAGATGACACACTTGCTCATCACAGCCACTCCCACTCTGTGTCTTCTGGTTCTCTTTTTCTTAGAAATACTATGCTAGCCTAGTACAGGGAAGCTTCCTCATAATGTAACAAAACATTGTCACCGATGCTAGAAGTAACCTACTTTAGGAGCACTGTGGTGATTATTTCTACCATCTTTATTTGTACTTGCAGAAATGGTGCCAAAAGTTTGAGAGAATATGTACAAAACAGAACTATCTCAATTTGCAAAGGGAAATACATCACTGTTTTTAAGGTTGAAAAACAAGCTAAAACCTAAAATGGAGATGCAGCCATAACAATCTTGTGGTAATCATAATTCATAATGAAACGAAGCAGCAACAATTCCAACAGAATCAAAGGAAACCCATACAAAATGCTAGTGAACGCAAAAAATAGCATCCATCAACCGGTGGGGCCATATATATGACTTATTTCCACTTTTTAGTGGTTTAATACAACTGACACCAACACTCAGCAGTTATAATGCACCCTAAGTCATGGAAACAAATCACGTTCCCTATCTCAGCCTACAGGGTGATATGTTTGCCTTCCCTGTTCACATTATACACACACTAACTTCACCGCCAGGATCCTTATTATCACATTCCTCTCGTAGGACACACTCCAAGAGAATTACATATTTCTAGAAAAAAACCGGCAATTTGAAGAAGGTAGGGAACAATTTAAAACAGTCTTCAATAGAAATTTTAGCACATAAGAACACAGAAAATATATAATTTAGTTCATGCTTGGTAAAATGTAACATGATGTTCATAACTACTTGGAATAAGCTGAACAAAAGATAGGTGAAAACAAATTGAACGGCTGTAAATACGTGCAGGAGTCAGGTGTCATCAAGAGAAATGACTGGGTGCTCTTCAACTGGCTTATGATGTCATTAGAGGGTCCTGTTAGACTTACTGATCTTAGAAAAACCTGAGACATTAGCAAAAATTGTTTAAAATTAGTCACAGAAAAGATGTCGCAGTTTAAAAGACTATATTGAAAGCAAGTGTTTGTTACATGATTACACTAAACTGTTAGCTAGCAGCAAGCAGCTTGTTAAATTAGTGAAACACAGTCAACACAAGCTTCTGTAAGAACGCTCCACATGTGGCAAATAAAACCCCACCTTTTGGGGTGTATAGGTAGGGAGGAGACAGAATATACCATGACATCGCTTCTGTTTTCTTGACTCAAAACTCCGACCACAGTGAAGATAAAATGTGGTGCCATGCAGTACCCCCAAAAGGTGGGAAGTTCTTATCGCAGCCACATGAAATGACAGGGAAGGCCTGAAGCCACAGTTCTCCATGTGCAGAGAGACGACCCACAGGACAATAGTGAGGCACTGGCTCAACTCGGGAGTGTTCTGAGAAGTCCTCAGAGGATCTAACTATTAGCAGTGCCCCTGCTTCACCAACCCTAATCACGTATACACTGTACTAGCCATCACGAATAATGCAGTTTTCAGCCTCACGGTTTCAATGGACATTTAAACATTTGGCACATAAACATTAAAGTACATTTCAGAAAGTGATTTTACGCAAACAAATGAATGCCAACACAAAGACAGCACGCATCCGTCTACCTGCCTTCAGCTGCCACCCTCTGTCTTTCCCTCTGGCCCAGTGTTTTCACAGAGCCGCCTCAAGGCAAAGTTTCTGTGAACACCAGGCAAAAGGCAAGCTTATCATTTCTGCACTTCTCTCCACTTACCTGTTTTCTGTTCTCACTACTGTACTAAAACGGGTCTTCCCAAGAGAATCTGAGACCCAGTGGCTGTGGCTGGCGGGCTGCACTCTCCTATTTCATCAACACCTGGCACGCCGCCCACTCTTTGCTTGGTGTATGACACCTCTCTTTCCTGGAGGTCCCTCCCCTGTCTGTGAGCCTGCTTCTCTGTCTCCCATACAGGCTATTTGCCTCTCTTCTTGTTTCACTTTTTCACATTTTCCAAGGAAAACATCAATCACATCAAGTTCCACATAGATTAGTATGGAACTATACACCTATTGACCTGGTTTCATTTGGACATCACATGGGCATCTCATAAGCAGCTCATCCCAGACCATCCTTTTCCTAAAGGACATCCTCCTCCAGGAGAGAGGACCTCCCTGACTGGCACGGTCACTCACCCAGCAGCCCTGACCAGCACACCCGAAGGATGGCGTGCAGCTCTCTGTCACCCTCCCCTCAGTCCATTCACTGGGCCCACAGATCCATTCGTTCACCTTCCCATCACCTGCCACTCTCTGCCCTTCCATCACAGCATTAGTTTAAGGTGATTTTCTGCGTGTACCTTTGCAATTGTCTTTTAAATGGTCTCCTGTCTCCTGTTGGATCCCTCTCTGACTCATTATTTGTACTGCACCAGTGATTTTGCAAAGTTAAGTGTGATTATGTCATTTTCCTGCTCAACATCCTCCACTGGCTCCCTACTGCTTTTGGAGGGAAACAGATCATCCAGCATGGACAGTGGAGAGAAACCCACACAGACTTCCTGCTGTCTTTTACCACAGAATCTCATGTGACCTACAATCCAGGCTTGTCCGAGTGAAAAAGAGAACTTGAAATCAAAGGAAAAGTATAATTTGGGAGTGCAGAGTGGAACAGAGTCTTAAACTTTTAACTCAAAGATATCTGAGGTTTTTAGATTGGAACAAATTTATGAAATTCAAATGTCAACCACTTTTCCCCCCAGACACTTCAATCCAAAATATTAATTTCCATATTTAAGCACAAAATTTGAAATTTATGTTTTCTCTCAATGGAAAAAAGTCTTGTTTTATGACATTTCATGTATGTGTTAAAAGTTGTAATTTAAGATGAAGAAACAAAATGTACTGAAAGAAAATACCATGTCAAGTTAATCAACATACACTCAAGACCTACACAGAGATCTCCAAATGGTGCCCTAGCTAATATTAAAGATACAAAATGAGGACTAGGTTGTTTACAAAGATTCAGGCCATAATAATTAAAAATAAGAGATTAAAGTTTAAAGAGGAAAGATTAATATTAGGTTAAAATTCTCCACAGAGAAAAGTATCAGGTTACACACTGCGTTATTGAATAAGGAATTCTAATTTATTTGAATTATTGCTCACTTGCAGTTCTGCAGCTGGCAACAGTGCAACATTGTTTTACCAAAACAAAACAAAACCTCAGAAGTAGTTCTTTTTCTAGAACTTCTAATAAATGTAGTTAAGTACGAAAATAATATGAATAGGAAAAAAAATCCAACAAAAAATTTGTGCTACATTCCCTAATTAAGAAGACAAAGATGTAAAATTTATAAAAGATATAATATTGTCTTAAAGAAATTCTTAGGGATGAGCCAAAATATACACAATAAATGCTACCACACAGAAGGCAGCATCTTATGCCTAGAGGGAGTGGAATGAGTCAGACACGCTGATACATAAGCTGCTCTGTCTTCCTCTGCTTCATAAAAACGACGGCATCACCATTTTCCAAATGTTCAAAGTTTGTCTTTCTGTCTTTCACATTTTTTCTACAGGCTCCAGACAGGCAATATTTCAGAATATGTGGAAACAAAGAAGCTGAAAATAAAATGAAATAACTAGTATCTTAGCACTCTGACCAAATTAGTGAAAACTGATTTGTACATAAAGTACAAACTTTTATATACTTCAAAGTTATTCTGTCGTTGCTATTTTCCACCAATAGTACTTGCAAAAATTGGGTTATTTTCTCTCAGATCCACAGCTGAGTCTACATCCAACCCCACACTGTAGGGATGCATAGGTGACTTCTGTCAGCTCCTCCTGGAGATTAGAGAGTTTTCCTAATAAGCTACACTGTATGAGCTTCTATTGCTGGAAGATATAGATAGTTACATAGTAAAGTGTTTTGTTGTTTGATAATAGCTCTAGTGTCTAAGGAATAACTTATTATGCAAGAGACTATTGCCCAAAAAAAAATTTTCTATTTTTTTCATCTCTAAGGCCTTTCTTTCTTCCACAATATATACAGATATATCTAACTACTACCCAAGGGACTGTCCATAGTAATTCCTTGTAGAAAGACCATCCCCAAAGATAGCTTTGGTCCTTTTATAATGACTGGATTTGCGATTCAACAACAGCAGGTTTAATAAACATGTTTATCTGGATTCTACTTAAAGAGATAGCAGACGGAATGCATGGTCACTTTGTGTTCAAAATGACTCTTCTAATTAATCTGTGATCCCAATGCCTATTTAAGCTACATCAACAAACAAAGCAACTTATTTGTAACTGATCAACAAAAAGTAGGATCTCTGATTCTTTTTCTTTTAAAGACATGTGAACCAATTTATAATTTTTAATGCTATGGAATCTATTTGTTTTCAAGTTTGTAAGATCTTTTACTTAAACAAGGTTGTTTTGTTTTTTAAGATAAAATTTAACAATGTTAACTAAAGACCTAGTGTAAATGCTTGTGCTATATCAGCACAGAGCCTCTTAGGCTGAAAACAAAAATTTTAAAAAGCCTATGTACTTGTGTGTTAGAGGGCAAGAAAGAAAATTATGAATAAAGCAAGCTGAATATGAAAGTAACACTAGATAAAAAACATTATACAAAATACAAAACCAAATAAAAAATTAGAACTGATGAGATAAAATTCACTAATGAAATGGGCAGAGAAAACTAGGAAATATTTCATTCAGGAAGAACTCAAGTTCTGCTGCAAAGAATTGTCAGAAAAAAAGGAAGAATAGATTAACACATAGTACAACATTCACACTTCATTATAGAACACCTGAACAGATGATACAATTAAGAGGACATTCATTTTATTTTGTTAGGGAACCCCTCAAAAAAATCCCACCTAAACTTGCCAGGAACTTCTACTCCACGTGAAAGGGAGTACACCGGTATAAAGTGTCATCATGACACAAGCTAGGAGAACCTTTCAAAGCAATCTTTATGCTTGCCAGGACAAAACAGTTTCGCAAACCAGCCACCACACTGACATCTACCTGTGGCTGGCTGAACTGTGTGCAGGTGACAAGCAGGAAGGGGCGATCTGACCAGGAGCAAGCACTGCACAGACAGTTCAGGGGACACATTTGTCTTCCAGAAATTCATCACAATTTGAAGAAGGCCTTGGAATCATTATTAGCCTAAGAAAAGTTTGGAAAGTAACTGGAATTTTAGGCTTTCAAAGTAATCTTTCAGCCTGGGACATTTGTATTTTTATTCCATCGACTAGATTGGCAGTTACAATAGAGTAAAATATAAAGACATATAGACTTGAGGTAAATGACATAATGGAAACGTGTTGACTGGTACTTTAAATGACAAAAATAGTTTTGATTTAAAGTCTGTTCTGATCAAACCAGGTTTGTGGCATTGATCAAACTGCTTCAAATCTCAATTATATCTAATATTAATTCTAGACATTTTCATTTTGATTATTTTTATGGGATCCCTTTATTCTTTAAGAACTTCAAAATCACCCAAAAGAAATAAATGAAACCTCTGATTCTCTGGAAGATTGTGTACTGTTCATTTTGGTATATATAATTTCACTTCTCTCAGCAAATACAATATACTGCTACAGAGATCAAGATCTATTTTTTCTCATTGTCTGTATTCAGGGGCAAAACCACATTTGTTCTATCCACTGCTTCTTGTGGTACAGCCTATGAGCCTGCACAGGAAGCAAAAGGAAAACTGAAAGTCTCTGAAGAGATTATCCAAAAGAAGAAAATTATTCCCTGTGGAGTGAGTCGCCCTAACTCAGGAGGCTGCTGAAACAAGTGGCAGAACAGAACAATGAATCCCATTGTATACTGAATTCTTAATGCCACAGTATCTAAGAAGGCTTGCCTTATTACTTAGCTATGCATTATCAACATAAAGTGTTTATACAAGAAAACTGTATAGAAATGTATACTGTTATCTATGACCTGAAAAACATGTTTTATAACTGAGATATTTTAGATAAATATATGTTTAAAAAATTAAACTCAACTTTCAGGAGAAATGAAAATTATAAATACAATTTTTTTTGTCATTGCATCTTAAAACTTCCTTAAAAATGCTTCCAGCAATATGCAAAGTTCAGACAAAATTCTATTAAATTAAAAGTATGTTTGGCAAAAATTTTCAAGGATGTCGATACATATATCAAATGGTGGTAAAGAACAGCAAATTTGCCCTGTGCCAGTCACACATGTAAGAACTTGAGAAATTTGATTAGAAATACTCAACAAAATGTTTAGATGTGAAATCAAAGAGACACTGGAGACTATTACAAAATGTAAGCACACTTCTAGTTGAGCATCACTATCTGAGTTACAATATTACTTGAAATATCTTTTGACTTCCCCTCACCAAAAAAAGAAAAAAAAAAAACCTCTTAAGATGAAAAAGTACTTTGTAGAAGTCATTAACACTGGTTAAGAGCTATATCGGCCATAAGTAGGGGGAAAAATACCCAAAGTGTATTTCCAACAAATTTAGCAAAATGACGAGGTAAATCTTCAATATGAGGCAGGGACTGCAGATTCTATTCTTCTGCTCCACGAGATACAGACTTTCTACTCAGGGTTATGATGTCAAGTAATGAATAAAAAAGAAAAATAGAGAAAGATGTAGATAGTTAAAAAAAAATTAAAAAGGGTATGTAAGGTTAGAAGTACTAAGGAAGTGACACAGTTAAGGAAAACTCTGGCCAAAACTAGTCTGAAGGAACACTGATGCTATCCCAATTTCAATAATAGAGACACAATATGCAGATGATAAAACTGTCAGAGTCTGGCTTGCCATTTCAGTTTTCTGCAATTTACTAAATTAACATTTAAAGTGCAATGTAGGGTTATCCTTAATATTTTTATACTACAGGTAGTATTTCTGTGTTACTTTTCATGACTTATCAGTGCTTTACTGTTTAATATGCATTTATTATATATCCCCTATAAATCATAGAGAAGAAATGGAAGAAATAAGTTTCACATAAACAAAAGCCCAGTTGAGGCCACTGAAGTGAAACACATCCACTCTGATGTGGAAGCCAATGTGATGAGTGAAACACAATGTAGTTCAATATTAAAAAACCCTATGTTTTGGAAAGTAGGAATTTTAAGCTATTCCAACGTTTACTTACTATAACACACTAATTTTTTTTCTATTTCATTCTCATTAATACAGAGGTGACATGTAACAAAGAAAAATAAAAACATAGAAAAATGTTATTTTTTTTCATTTTAATGCAGAAACAAATCTAAAGAATTTGCTACAGAAATAATATTCTAGACCAGTGTTCTATGAATCCAATTTGTGCTTTGAATTTATAACGAATAGTAACTAATGGCAAAAAAGTTTTGGAGTAATGATTGAATATACTGATTTGTAATGGATTAGACTTTTGGATATTTTAGACAGTAAAAGCTAATGAAGGAGGTACACGTTTACATTTAAATAGAATGAGATGTCATTGCCTAAATTAATAATGCAAACTTGAAAAATAGCCTCAGGTTCAAAAGACCAATTATAAAGTTATTTTGTAAACAAATCTATATTTGTATTTTTCATGAATAATTATAACTACTAGTATTTCTCCACTAATGTTCAATTTATAAAATGAGAAATACATTTTCAAATGAAACTTAAATAATATTTCAGTTTCTAATGATGGTAAGCTGCCTGCAGATTAAGTGTTAATAATGGCAAATATAGGAATACTCCACAGGAATAATTTTTATCTATTGATATTATACAAATAAAAACATAAAACTAGAAGTTAAATATTTTGAACAGTAAAATATTATGAAAATAAACCAGTGAGATAAATATGAAAATAAACAATTTTCTTCTTAGGAAATATGTGATCATCTTAAAGACTTATTAAATCTATGAAAATAATACATATTCAAATTCATTTATGCTGTGAACAAATACATTTATGTGAGGCAGATATGGGATCCTGTTCCTACTATCGTACGCAACAAAAACAATCCTTAGAAACTTAACTATCTGCTCATTTTTAAATCTTTTTTTCATCACATCAACAAGAAAGTAAAGATATCTGTTCGAACCATATTTCATTCGAAGTCTCTCACTTCAGAAGTATTCAAACTTTTGCAAATTTTTTATACTCCCGGTCAAGGTGAACTTGCCTTTTGTTCAGTAGTAAAAGAAAGCCTATTCATAGGTACACAGAATGGTGAAGCTGTCCCAGGAACAGAAAGTGTTCAAACCATTTACTTTCATTAATAATCAAATTATTCCGAAGTTTTAAATAAAGATTAAAAATTACTCCTTTATAATGCACATTAAGCATTTCAAAGGGAAATCTGGTAGCTATCACTGGATTTCAATGTCATAAGTCTTTTATTTATAGAACAGTAACAATATAGTTAGAAAACACCATCCTCTTAAATGTAGTACCTGACAGAGGTATAACATGGATGGGATCCAGCTGGCTCAAATGCGGTCCTAAACAGAAGTGAGGCTATTTCAGGGAGATAACTTGAATAACGGACGAGTAATATGATCTCAACCTTAGTAAAACGTATAATACATTTTCAAACCAAGAAAACCTGAAATACTGTGAAATACTTGTATGCATAAATGAATCTACCAAAGCACAGTACTGATCAGAGGAAAAAAAATCACAACCTTTCCAGTCATACTATCAAAAGCCTTAAATCGTGCTTCTAGAAATGCCATTTTAAAAAATCTGGAACATGCACAGACTTAGGCATGAGCATTTTCAGGGTAAAAGCCTGAAAACGGCCTATGTGTCTAAAGCCTTAATAAATTCATTATTGTGCATCAATGTAACTTGGGGCCATGCACAGATTAAAATTACATTTCAAAACAGTGGTTTAAAAACTAGGCATTTTGAAGCTGTATTCTCAGCAATTATCCAAAAATTGATTTTTGGATTTAATAAATTTTTAACTACTTCAAAAACTGTTTTTTAAGAAAAGCATATTGGCAGGTATTCTAAACAACGTTTTAACACACTGAAGCCCTTCAGGACATGGACACTCCTGCATTCACTTGTTGAGCAGTCTCCTGAGATGGAAAGTTGAGGGGAAACCTGAAACCCTGATGAAACATTCACCTGAGATGACAGTGAAAACAAGGGCGGACGCTCATCAAGCGACTGACGTGGCCGACTCTCTCTAGGTGACTTCAAAGTGCTTCTCACCTAATATTTACCATAATCCTATGAGGTTGGTCCACTAAGAACCCACAATTTACAAAACAGAAAGTGGCATTTCACTCGATAGTTTGACCGCGGTCCCACAGCTAAGGAGTGCTGAGCCCAGGTTCTCCACATGGCTTGCACTCCTCATGACACCCTTGTGCTGTGCTCATACCAAACGCAGACAGAAACTGGATGCTGCGGCTAATTGGCAATTGTTATCAACAACTCCTCCTATTTAAAAACTTGTGGCTTGTCAAAACAGTCTTGTGCTATTTTTAATGTTACAATAAGTAAATATAGATTATAATGATTAAATCTACTTATAAGTGGGTAGATAACACTTTTCTCTGTTTTATTTGTGGAATTTTATACATAATCTTGTTTGAAATCAGAATCCTGCTACTTAAAAATAAAAGTTTGAAGACTACAAAGTAGTTATATAGGAGAATAATTATTGACATGGAAAGGTATTTAGAATTTTTTAAGTATAAAAAATAAAATATATACTGAAACAAAAAAATCCCCCGCCAACAACAGTAATAAAAACCTTATGCATAGAGTAAAAACTGAATGGGTATAATCCTAAGAGGTAAGGGTGAAAATTAAAGGAAATTCTTGTAATTTTCTAATGGCTTTTCTGTGTTTTACAAGAACTCCAACTACTGCATGATCTCTTCAATAAGGAAAAAGAACATTTAATAATGTTTGTTTTTTAAAGAACCCATATTATGAGCACCATAGAATTTCTATGTCTACCTCTAATTAGATCACCATTTTACCAAATTTCCAAGAAACACCAATCCAGTGTTAAGCGAAGACAGAACTCATAAAATGTTAAATGAATGAATAATTAATGAATGAAATATATCTGTAATATCTCTGTACTATATGATGACCTTTCACATAAAACTTAATGCAATAATGTAGCTGATAATGGAGATTATGGCAATATATTTGCTAAACGCGTAGGCTAGATCCACAGGAATACAAAAACCTAACTTTTTAAAGGTTTCAGGCTTAACATACATAATATTCAACAAAAGTGGGCTGCATTTGAAGACACACCCTCAATTTCACGCCATCATGTGGGTCGAGCGCAGTGGAGATCTTCAGCTCCAGGATAAGGAAGGCTCTCACCCTTGAGATCAGGCTTCTTAAAACAGATGTCATTCAGCTGCCTGCAAACTATGTGGGGTCCCACAGACCATCACATGGGGTCCAATCTCACTCTTGCAGGCTTCAGGCACAATGTGACCTGGCTGCAAGCTCTGTGCTCCACCTGATCTTCCACTACGCCTCTCTACACATACCTCATCATGTACTTGAGAGGATGATTTAGCCTCGCCTGAGTCTATCTCACACTCTTCTGCACGAAGGCTTCGCTGCCGCCACTAGGTAACTCTGCTACCTGGCAGACATCACTCAGCCACTGCGGATGCAAGTGAGTGCACTGAACATCCATGACCTCCCAAGATGCTTTCAGCACTAACATTCTACACGGTGTCATCCCCTCCTCATCCTTTCCGAACACACACGGATTGGGTCCTGGAAATAACTGGACCATTTTTTACGCCACGGCTGAGATGTTCTCTCCTCTGTGAGGACTTCACCTGGGCTCAACATAATCCTTTATGTACTCCCCTGGCCTCTCTCTTTTCCCATTCAAATCTGTATTATAATTACTTATAAACACTGAGTCACTTTTTATGCTATATCCTTAAAGGCAGGAAACCTTTCTTGTATCATCTTCATTGCCATAAATGAGTGCTATACTCTAGACAAGATACCATAAATGGGTTGAACAACTGATTAATTAAAATGGTTTCCTTACTTTGAGAAATGCAATAAAATCACTGGAAAAGCAGTTGTAAGATAAAAGTATAAAATCTAAATGTTAAGATTATAGAAAATGGAAAAGAATGTTATGTTTTTTAAACAGTAACTAAATTATGCATGATATTATAATGGCAGATACATGTCATAAATTTGTCAAAACCCACAGAATGTTCACCGTCCACAGCGAATCCTAAATGAAAGTATAGACTCTGGGTGAGAATCATGTCAATGTAGGTTCATCAACTGTAACACATAGACCACCTGGTGGGGAATGTTGATAACGAAAGAGGCTCTACACGTGTGGGGTAGGGGATACACGACTCATTTCTCTACCATCCTCTCAATTTTATTGTGAACCTGAAACCACTTTAAAAAAGTTTATTTTTAAAAGTCACTAAAATTAGGTAATTAGCTCCCAACCGAATATATGAACTCATGGTGATTAGAAAAACTACACTTCTAATTGGGATTTAACGGGCTTTTAATCCATCATGGCGGCCCACCTGATTTGACTGCTCAGTGATGAGTCATTACCTGTAGTCACACCAGGGGCATCTGTAGGGCTTTTCTCCAGTGTGGACACGTTTATGCCGAGTCAAATGGGACTGAGTTGTGGAGGCAAAGTTACACTCATCGCACTTGAAAGGTTTTTCTCCTGTAATATATCAAGAAATGTTACAGATGAATAATAATAACAACTGGAAATGAAGGAATAAACCTGGTATTGACAATTTAAAAAACATTTATTTCCATGAAATGTCAAGAATATGATTCAATGGACTCCACACACTTAGGACATTTGAATATTTATTCTCAGAGTGAGAAAATTAGAAGATATCATTGATTTTTGTTTCTATATTAGAATGTAAGCAAAGTATAGATTATATGGTCAAGGTTTATTTTACATAAACAGGAATCTAAATTCTAGGGATGGTTCAGCACTGTATTTAGAATGGTTTAATAAACCATGTTACATCAGAGCCATTACAAAAATCTTAGAGAGGTTAAAACCAAGGATAGGCATATAACAGAGATATACTGTGAATATATAATTTAAAACTGAGTAAAATCTTAACATTAGATATGAAGAAAAATAAAATCAAGCTACAAATGGGCACCACCTTAAAAAGTGTCAGAAGCAACAAAAAATATACTGTATTAAGCCGAGTAAAAAGAGGACCCAAAGAAATATTTAGAATATTTAATACCACATTAAAATATACCAACCCTGTGTAGATATAACAGATAGATACATAGACAGACAGACATAGGTAAATAGACAGACAGACAGACAGACACAGCTACGCAGTGCTTAATGGCAGGGACAGGTTCTAAGAAATGCGTGACTAGGCGACTGCATTGTGGTGAGAATATCCTGCATGCACTTACACAAACCTAGACGAAACAACCTACTACACACCTACCTAGATGGTGTAGCCTATTCCTCCTGGGGTACAAACCTGTACAGCATGCTACTGTACTAAATACTGTAGGCAACTGTAACACAGTAACAAGTATCTGTATAACTAAACACATCTAAACACAGAAAAAGTACAGTAAAAACACAGTGTTATAACCTCATAGGACCACCATTGTGTATGTGGTCTGTTGTTGACCAACAAGTTATGTGATGCCTGCCTATGTGTGTGTGTGAACGTGCTTATCAAGTGTAACCATTCTACCCATGAGAAGTTCATGGCTTGCAGAGGACACGAAGATAGTGAAATAGCATACTGGTATCTTGAACAAAGTATTTCTTTCATTTGACACCTCCCTCTCCTTTAAATCATTCCTACCCACCCCACACACATTCAAAGAATCATGGAGTCTTATCGGCTTTTAATTCCACTAGCTGCATTGGCTGATAGGCACTGAAAACAAGGATATTTAATTTTAATTAATGTAAATTTAAATGTAAAAACTGATACTCGACTGAGCTATTGAAAAAATGTTTAAATATGGTTGGAACAGCTTGGGAATGTGAATCTACTTTTTGAAGTGTAACTTTTATCAAATCTAAATATAGATCATATATTTCAGATGAAAATTTAGCCTCTGAATTGAGATGTTCTAAATTGTAAAATACCAAATTTCAAAATCGTAGTACAAAGATTATGATAAAAATATTGTTAATAATGTTACATTGATTTGATGTAGAAATTATAATAATTTGAATTTGGTTAAATTAACTATTGTAAAAATGTTTACACCTGTTACTTTTTCTTTTTTTAAATATGGCTACCAGGAAACAATATTATACATGTATAGATCACATTATACTTGTATCAAACAGTAATGATTTAGAGAATACCTCACTCCCCTGTTCTCAAAAAAAAATGTATAGTAATATTTTTCTCAACATTTTTCCTGGCAAATTTTACATGTAAGATGGATTAATTTTACATATGTTCAATAACTCTACTTGTTATTTCTTACTTTCCATGTTTTTGTGATAGCTGTATGAGTATACTGACTTACTTAGAAAATGAGGAGTAAAATATCTTACTTTAAAATTACTCTTTATCAATTTGGCTATCAACAAAACCGTATCTGTCCTGAAAATTAGAACGTTTAGAAGTTCGCCCTACATTCTACGTCTATTTATACTGCTTACCCATAATTGTAGTAACATTTAACTGAATCCATACACAACCCATTTGGTGGTATTTTCTCTCTTACTGCAGCACAGTAGTTAGATGAAGCCAGATGGACTTCAATTCTGATCCCAGTTTTGCCATATTTCACTTGCTACCTGTTAGACCCTTTGAACAAGATCAAGAGAATAATACCACCAAACATGCAGGGTGATTGTGAGGATTAAAGACAACTAAAAATATGGAAAGAGTACACTTAACACAGAGTTCTCAATAGCCAGTGGCTTTTATCATTATGATGACAGAACTGCCTAAACACTGATAATTGTCAACACGTCTCTGCCAAAGATGAAAGAAGCACACAAATGCTTCTCATCAAGAGCTCATAACCAGGAAAAAGATGAACAGCTAGCAAACATAAAATAATTCATGGTTTTGCATAGTTACTGAATATGACATAAAGATATCATTTAACAGATCCTACCAGGAAATATTTGTTTGACTTATTCTTATGTTTTTTTTTAAAGACTATATACCAAGCAGAGTAAAAATCTGAATTGAAAGGGATTTTTGTCTCTTTTAGCCTTTTGTCTTTAAGATAAATCCCATCTATAGTACCCCAAACAAGTGGTCACCCAAGGTCTGCTTGAATAACTCTTTGTTCTCAGTTTCTAAACCTCTGGTCAAATGACTTAAATTGCTATAGACAACTCAACTGTACTGAAATGACTTACACAAAAATTTACTTTTATGATGATGGCAGATTTTGCTTTGATGGAAAATATATGATATTCATACTGCGTAATAAAAAAAATAGGTGAAGCTATTCAAATTTGACACAGAATATTCTGTATCATGAAATCATATGAACATCCACACATAGCATATTTGAAAACATTTATAAGATTTGTTCATTTAAACAAATGAATAGTAATTTAATGCACACCAATGTCAAAGTGCTGTACACATGAGAAACAGAAACACAAAGGAAGCACTAGGCTAGATAAAATGACACATATTATAAATTATTTTACTAACTTGGCCTATAATCTGTCTAGACTGGCCGTATGAGGCCAAATGTATAAAGCATTTTAAACAGCTTCAGTGAGGCATAATTGATACACAAAAACTTCCATTTGATAAGTTTTGTTATTGATGAAACTCTGCCACCATCAAGACAATGAACACAACCATCACCCCCAAAAAGACTCCTTTTAACTTCAAGGTTCCCTGTTCATCCCTTTGTCAAGCCACCATGCTTTCTGTCACTATTATATTAGTTAGCATTTCCTAGCAATTTATACACCTAGATACTTATGGTATGAATTCTCTATTGTCTGGACTCTTTCTCTCAGCATAATTATCTTCTGGCTCATCCATGCTACTATGAGTATAAATACTTCACTTATTTTCGTTGCAGAGTAGTATTCCATTATACGGGTGTACCAAGTTTGATTATCCATTTGTCTACTGAAGGACATTTGAGTTGTTTCCATTTTTGGCTACTACCACAAACAAACCTTCTCTGAGCCTTCATATGCAGTCATTATATGAACATCCCTTGGGTAAATCCTGGAGTATGATAGGCATATGTGTATAATATGGTAGGTATATATTTTGCTTTGTAAGAAACTGCCACACTGTTTCACAAAGTTGTTTGAGCATTTTACATTCCTACCAGCTACGTATGACTTGCTTCAAATCCCCGCCAACACCTGTTGTAGTCAACGCTTTACACCTGCATTCCTCCGAGGGTGCCGAGGATCTTTCCATGTGCTTATCTGCCATACCTTTATATTCTTTGGGGAAGTATCTACTTCAACTTTTTGACTCATTTTTAAAAGGTTGTTTTCTCAGAATTATGTTTGGAAAGTTCTTTACATATTCTGGATAAAAATTATTTATAAAATTGGTCACTTAAATATACTTTCTCTGTCATTTGTCTTAAGTCTGTTCACAGCACCTTTTAAAGAGAAGTTTTACTTTATAAAGTTTTCAACTTATCAACATAATTTTTCCGGTTATTTTTTATTTTATAAATCAGGCTACTGATGTCATATCAAAGAAATCATTGATAATCCAAAGTCAGAAATAATTTTCACCTATGTTTTCTTCTAGAATTTATATAGTTTTAAGTTTTACATTTAGATTATGATCATTTTGAGTTAATTTTTGTATACGGTACAAAGTATGGGTCAAAGTTCATTTTCATTGCACATAGATAGCCAACTGCTCCAACATAGAATGTTGAAAAGACTAAATTGCCTTTACTCCTTTGCAGAAAAAACACTTCCCCATGTAGTACACGTCTATTTCTGCAATCTCCATTCTCTTCCACTAATAAACATTTGTCTGTCTTGATGCCAACACCAGAAGGATTTCATTATTGTAACTTTATAATAAGTCTTGACATCAAGTAGTGTAAGTCCTCCTATTCTTTCTCAATGTTGGTGACTTATTTCAAGCCTTTGAATTTCCATATAAATTTTAATATCAGCTTGTCGGTATCTTTAAGAAAAATAGCCTGATGGGATTTGGATTGATCGATGTGAACGAAATGGAAATCCTAACAATATTAAATTGTCTGATCTATAAACATGGTACAACACTCTGTTCAGATCTTCTTCAATTTCTCTCAGCAGTGTTCTGACGTTTCCACCATAATGGTTTTGCACATCGTTTATTAACTTTATCTTTAAATATGGTGTCTTATTTAAAAACAATTGACAAACAGATGCACAGGTCTATTTCTGGATGCTATTCTGTTCCATTGGTCTGTGTGCCATCATTATACCCCCAAGATACTATTATGATTATGGTTGCTGTATAATAAGACTTAGGTAGGTAGTATAAATCTTATACTTTCAATATAATAAGTCTAAGTGGTCAAGCAATTTAAAGATTTTGTTCATTATGCAAATTCACAAATATATTCTGATGTCTCCTTATTCCATTCAATCTAAGTGTTTACAAAATGTTTTGGCATTAAAACTCACTGCTATTTTCTTTATCGCAATAGTGTTGGTAGGTGTCTTCAAACTATTCATTTTTCATAGATTCTGCTGATATTTGAAGTGGGGTAAAAGGATGACATCATGAACTCCACTGCCTAAGTCAATGGTATAAATTAAAGGTCATCTAAGATCTCTGAGCTGCATTTTCTTGGTTTCGTAGTTTAACATAACCTCTTAAAAAACTCTGTTTAATGTAGCTTATTTTATTTAAACTTACATGAAAATCTTTATGTGACAAAATTTAAATTTAAAAACAGTCCTTCTAAGGAATAATGTCATATATATTCTCTATAGTTCATATTAACCTAGTATTATATTGTAATAAATTATAAATGGTTCTTTCATATTTTCTTTGACCACACAATAGATTACATTGTGTAATATTAAGCAAGTTTGAATTACATACAGGATGACAGGGAAAAATATAATGCCACAAAAATATCATGGTACATAAAATCCTATGCTAAGCAAGGCTCAGACATCTGAGCTCTTGATAGCTTAAGTCCATGTCAATTTATACAACCACAGATGATTCAAATCTGTATATAATAGTCAATTTGTAACTCATCAATCAGTTACATGTTCAATACTATTACTCTAATACATAATTTGGTAATTCTTCTTCTCTTTTATGGGTAATTTCTTCAGGAAAATATACTACAGAAATATAGAAGGAGTTTTGTGTTTGTTAGTCTCAATATGCAGACAAAAATATAGACCTGACTTCTAGACTGTAAAGTTGGAAAGAAAATATCACAAATTTGAAATAAGAATTTAAGTTTGCTAAATATTTGCTAATGGTTTGAAGATGACATACATTATATGAAAAGATATATACCTGTTAAGGAAAAACTGATGGCAGACTGATCAAACAGGTTTGGTGCATATTGGCAAAAGTGCTGCTTTGAAATCCTTTGTCATTTTAAAGGCAAACGGATGCATAAATCTAAGTAAGATATTGGCTACTCTCAAACAATGTTATCTGTAAGTCAACAGGGCTACCTGTACATGTGCTTTTCAAACAAGCAGAACAAGGATGAAATTTCCTTTCCTCCTGTTTCCCTCCTACATAACAGTACCTATTAGTTTAAATTGTTTTGCTTTTCACACTTTCCGTTACAAGCAGTAATCTTGGCTCAAATCACCATTAAGAAACATACTGCATCTCAGGCCCCATTGATAAGGAAAGCCAGAGGATGAACAGCAGAAGGGCTGTCGTCATAGTGCGGTGCTCTTTGTGTGTCAACTGTCCGTCAGACGGGCTGACCGCGTCTCATGGAAACACACACCCACATTCTTTTGGGCGGGCTGGTGGTTATTAAGCTGGCCAACACTGTTCAACCACACGTGAGGATCTTCTCCTGTGCCCTTGAATCAAGGGTCCCTGACAGGTGATAAAAGTAAATCTTAGAATGGAAGATGTTTTGTGTCAGCCCCCTGGACAGTCTGTATTGCGGTGAGGAATTATTTACACCATTTGGAGCACTTTTGATACGTATTCCTTTCCAAGCTGATTATAATTTGCGTGGGTACTCTGTGGTAAAAAGGTAAACCATGTCAAAGAGGAATACGTCAGAGAAATATAGATTTCAAATGCACCATACAAGTCTGGCCTTGGGGGAAAAAGGTTGTGTGTTGCTTAAATATTTTAAATCCAGCATAAAAGTTAAGTGCCCAGACTGAGTTGTGCCTAGCTGTTTTGTTGAAGCAAACAGTCTTAAGAACTGACTTTGGTGTTAAAGAATCATGTTTGATTTGTGCTACAGAGGCAGATAAATGCCAAAAAGACAGATACCTCTGTCTATGAGACACTGTCCTATATGGTATAAAGTTAATAGCAAAGTAATAAGGAGCCTCTGGACCTGACATAAAATATAAAGTTGTGCCAGCTCAGTGCAGGCTTCCTGATCGATCTATCACTGGGATGCCCGTGATCACAGCATTCCTGTCTCCACTTCGATGGGCACTGACCTGCCCACTGGCAGAGGTGGCACAGCAGTCTGTTGTTCCCTGGGGCCATACCAGGTGGGACAAGGTGAACTTCAATGGCATTTAAACAGTAACAATTTGAGCACTGATTAAAAGTGAAAACATTAAGAACAAAAAAGCCCTCATGAGCATACTGTTACCATAAATGTTTCCAATTTCCAACTTTATCACAACAGTGGTCAAGAACAATTGCCACTAACTGGGCCCCTCCTGTCATCTCTTATGCTGAATCCTGAAGCCAGTGGTTAAAATCAGGCATGCACAGGTGGCTTCTATACACTTAAAATGGACCTTGTTTTCAAAGTTTAGTTTATGTTTCCAACATTGTGCTAAACATTGAAATTTCCCATTAACTCAATGATAACTCATATCTCTTATGAAAATCTGAATCATATTCATACATCTAAAAGGAATGGCTGGCATTAGCTTGCATTGATCTTGCAAATGCCATATTGGGCACAGAAGCTACCTGTACCTAACTGTTAAATACAACATATCAAGAATCATAATGTAACATAAATCACACATTTTATGTATTTTAATTTCATGCCATTTTGAGTATGACTGACAAACTCAACCATTCTCATGAGACCTAAGAGAAGTAGGACATTTATTACCAATTTTGTCATCAAGTGACTTATCATCTGAACTAGGACACATTTAGAGTAAAAAAGTGGTTCTATTAATAATTACAAGAAACCACCATAAATTAGCACTGTCCCAGGCACACATAAATTAGTATTATGAAAATAATTACTCATAAGACCCATTAGATTATATAAAGTAGGCAATACAATTTGATAAATGTTTAACACTTTTCATCTGTAAGTGTTCCTGATATGGTTTTGCTGTGTTGCCACCCAAATCTCATCTTAAATTCCCACATGTTGTGGGAGAGACCTGGTGGGAGGTAACTGAATCATGGGAGCAGGTCTTTCTTGTGCTGTTCTCCTGATAGTGAATAAGTCTCACGAGATCTGATGGTTTTAAAAAGGGGAGTTTCCCCATGCAAGCTCTCTTCTCTTGTCTGTCGCCATGTAAGATGTGCCTTTCACCTTCCGCCATGATTGTGAGGTCTTCCTGAGCCACGTGGAACTGTTAAGTCCAATAAACTGCTTTCTTTTGTAAATTGCCCAGTCTCGGGTATGTGTTTATCAGCAGTGTGAAAAAGGACTAATACAGTTCTTAATGAAGGAATCTATTTTATTTCAATGAATCACCAAGAATGCACATCATGGAGAAAAGTCCTCTTCAATGACCATAATTAACTCTCATGTTGCTGTTTGATGTTTTCTATTTTTAATACCAAGAACAACTGAAACAGCAATGACTTCAAATCCTATCTAATCACAGATGGATTGATAGACAGGCGGGTGGGGAGGGAGACAGGGAGGTAGGCAGAGAGAGAGAGAGGAAGGGAGGGGTAGACATGTCGCTAGCTAAATGGGGAGGCGGGTGATTAGCTACGAGGTGGGTAGAGAGAATGACTGAGAGGGAGACTGGTTGACAAAGACTCCCCATTTTCCACCCACGAGGCCTAAGGCAGAGATTTGCGGACAGAGAAGATAGTCTCCTGTATCTGGGCTTTGGAAGCCAACCTGCTGTTTTACTTCTACTTAACATGAATTTACTGAGGGTACCTGCTTCTTGAAATATGGAATATGTCTACATTTCAAATATATAAAAAGAGATGATTTAAAATTTTATGTTATTCAACTGGAATTATCTGTAGACCTTCAAGTGCACAGATGTTATAAAAATTAAAAAGGAAAGTAAATGATGACATCAAGAATTGAGGCTGGGGTGTCTTGCCGTCCTCTCTGCAGAGAAGGGGCCAGTGCAGCATCGGAACTGACCTGTGTGCTGTCTGCGATGCTTGGTGAGGGCGTGGCGGGTCCCGCCGGCAAAGCCGCAGAGGTCACACAGAAACGACTTCTCGCCTGTTGCAACAACAAACAGATGAGGGACTGCGGAGGTCACAGATCATTAAAACATATCTATCAAGGCTTTCAGGGTTACTAATTCCTCCAATCAAATGTTTCCATGTAAATATGTCAAATGGGAATGAAATTACCACTGCGGTTTATTGACTGTGATAAAATCTGAAAAGCACCACTGAACATAATTACATACTTGTCAGACCCATAAAAATTAGCTTTATTATCAATGGAATGGTTTTGTACAACTTCATTTCTGGTAGATGTCTTCCAGATGGGGCTGCTTTATGCACTTGAACAGTTTTTATGCATATCCTGATATTTTACAATTCCCATACATCTGGCCTTTCTGAGCTGAGTAAAGATTGCTTGGAATAGTTAATATACAGTATATATGGTTCTGCTTAAAGAAAACAGATTGAATTTTCCAGCAACTTAAGGATATTGAATTGGTTCTACCTGATTCTATTAGGGTCTTCCTTAATCACTTCCTTCTTAATAATATGAATTAAATGGTTTCCTTGAACATGCTGAAGATCCCAAGTAACAATAAAATCTATATTAGTACCAGTAGCAATTCAATGCTGTTTATGTTTCTCGCTTTCATGGCATAAAAAAGAAAGTCTAGGGATTGCTACAGAAATTGTACAAAAATTCATACTATTCATCTTTAATGACAGCTCTGGATTGGAAACCTTTGCAACACTTAGGGACAGATTTGGCAGACTTAGTATTTGTTAAATGTGTGCAAATGCTCATTTTTTTAAGCATTTTCACACAAGCTAACATGTGCCCTAAGTTTATAAATGCAATCTATCTTCCCACTGCAGCATATTCAGGCAGTAAGTGCTGGCCAGCTAGGCAGATCATCCCATAAGACTCACAAAGAAAGGCAAAATAGAAGAAAAATGCTAACCTTCGAGAGATTCAGTGAAATTATAAAATGTTTTTCCAGAAATAAAATAAATCATTTGTATCTATCTTTAACTACTTTACTCATTTAGACATTTAATGCAACAAGTCTTTCAAGAGTTTGGCCAGAGTCAGGCTGTGTTGTCCCAAATCACTTTGGTTTATCATAATAGAAACTTAACTTGTGGTGTTTTGGAAATTATAATTGCCTTTTTAAGGTTCTAATAAATAGTACATATAGGAAGGGAGAATAACTTCAGTAATCAAAAGAGTCTTCCCTTTATTTTAAGAACATTACTGGCTTTTCTACTTTCAACGAACACATATACTTAAAGAGAGTTTTAACCAAATTACGCTTAATCTTATTTCCTAAGGGTAAGTTAAAATGTTCATTATTATCATTTTAAAAATAAGGCTGAATTTAAATATTTTTGCTATCTTTACTTCTTATTTTGGGGCTAAGTTTATTCCTTGGTATTATTATTTCAATATAGAAAGAATAGAGTAGATGGGCTGTAAAGAATAAAGTTTAATTATAATCACTCATTTAATTATTTAATCAATTTGAAATAAATCTTTCTAACTAGCTGTATTATCAATTAAATAACACTGAGAGTAGATTTTTTTTAATCCCACAAGACAATTTGCTCGTTAATATTAACACAGTTTTCTATGTTGAGGCAAAATCGTTCCCTCCAATCAATTCCTCGTTGCGGGTCCGTGGGTGCTGCCTGCTGTGCGTGTGAGGAGTGTGTGTGCAGCACCACACACACATCTGGTGGTGTGTGCTAGTGGGAGTGTTTGTGCCATATCATTCAATAAGCAAAATTTCTAATGAGGAAAGAGCAATCTTAGGACTTCTGGATTCAAGTATTCTTCCTTTCTGTCATTTATGAACTTCTTTGTGGCCTGCATCTTGTAAAATAGAAACATGAACAAGCATAGAAAATCCCTCTTAAGATTTATATTTTCTACATGCATAGATGCTGCATACTTACATATATGCTTTATATATTTTTATTCCTTTCCCTATTTTAAGATTTATACATACAAAAAGACAAAATTATTAATTTTCTATGTGAGTTGATTCTCAATACATTAGTGACTTTGATTTTTTTATGTGTATGATTTTATTTAGGATGTTAGTCTCCAATGTATTGTATATCATATTTACCTGGGTGGCTTGATTTGTTTTTCATTCTAAACTCAATTTTCACTTGCCTTTTTTTTTTTTTTTTGGAGTGGGTTGGGGTGTTAGGTTTGATCAGCAGCCAAACAGAGTGTTTTTTTTGAGAAAAAAAATTTTAAGAAAAAACTAAATGTAAAATTTCTTGAATTTAGAGGGGGTTCATTCAGCATGCCCTATTTATATGATAGCAGAGATATAATGGGAGACTTCTTTTTGTAACAACTTGAATTAGTTTCAAGTGTGCCATTTTGCATTCAAATGTAGAAAGACACGGAAACTAATCCTTTATTTTCTATTAGAAAACAGCCACTGTCCCCTATCTCTCATTATGGTGCAGACTACAAGACCTAACAACAAAAATCTATATTATTGATCCAGCCAAGTCTCCACAATTATTCTTTAGAAGGAAACGCCGACGATAAATTACATCTGCACTGGCTTTTCATCTGCTGTTCGATATAAGTGATCTCTCAGGGCAGGCTGGAGACCTTAAATCGTCAACACCCTTGTCAAGGAAGCTAAGGAGGCCTGGGCTTCCCACAAACTGCTTGAGAAGAACTTTTAACCTATAATTTCTAACAATAATATAAAATTCTTGGCAATCAGAAGAACATTTTGGAATGCTGATTAAAATGTATTATTTTTTTTCCCTGAAACAAAATACATTCTGAGAGGTGTAAAGAGAAGGAAGACCACAAAAATATCAAACAGCTCACAGGAATATGGCCACAATGCTCTAGGGAGAGACTCAAATATAAGCTTGTAAGGAAGTTTTGGGCCCACTAGACTTAGACTATAAAAAAGAAATCACAAACATCACAATAGGGTCTTACTGGGATTTACATTTACAAGGGCCCAACTGAGAGTTCTGGCACCACCCCTACCAAAGATGTACGCTCAGTGTTGCTCCACATACCAATTAGCGGAAATTCCACACCCTCTGTTACATGTTCTGATGTGAAATGTATGTGAATTTGAACATTTTTAATAACTTTCCAAAAAAATTATAGTAGCTAAATGCGGATTAGTGTCTTTGTATCAATTATCCAAGTATTTGTATCAATTATCAAAAACTCTTGGATCTGACAGTATCCTCCTCAGAAGAAAAATATTCATGTGGTAACAGTTTCTTAAAACGGTACATAAAACCAAGATTCATTAATGTTCAAACATACTATGGAAATTCGTTTATATCAGTAACAAAACACAAGACTAGCTCTCTTTGAAAACTTAATCTCTCCATATGACCTTCTATAAAGATCTTCTAAAAAGACATGTTAAACACATACAAATATATATATACACATACATACACCATAAATGAGCTTCTAAATATAGACTTATTTTATGTAAACACATTCACACACAAGCACAAATGTCACTTTAAAATTGCCTTCTCACTGAAAAATAATGAAATGATACCATACCTATAAATACATAATTACCACAATCTTAAAGCAGGACATCATTTCCATTGATTACTATGAAGATGGGATAATTAATGCCTCTGTTCCCACAGTCCACCCAGTCTACCTCTGCCCAGCCTCCTGGGATAGGAAGGCGGCGCGGCACACCTGTGTGCGTCCTGTAGTGGTCTTTCATTGCGGAGGCTGTGAGGAATGAGTAATGGCACGTGGGCCAGGTACATTTAAACGGCTTTTCTCCCGTGTGGAGTTTCATGTGGTTGTTCAGGGCCCACTTCTCTGTGAAACTTCTATCACATAAGTGGCATGTAAATTTCCTGCATGAAGGAGAGAGAAAACAATATAAATATGGCCCGCACACCAGCACCGAAGGCCCCAGGCAGCGCGTGTGCGAACCCTGAGGTGCGGTGCACACGCAGCCTCTGCGAGGAGCACTGCAGGCCTGGTCTGTCATGTCTGTATAACCAGGCATTGATTTTTCTGTCGAGGCCTGGCACTTCAGCCATTTATTCTCTGCTTTGCGGTTGGGCCCAACGGGTTTGAAAAATTCTGTTACAGTCCAGTCACCCCTGAGGCAAAAGTGAGAATAGATTTCACCTGTACAGGCCTACACCACTTATCCAGGGCATGGGCTGTCAGAGCAAAGGCTAAATGAAATGCTATCCATACTCAACCACTCAGACAAGCCCTGCTGTCTGCTGGTGTGCGGCTTGTACGGCTGGAGCAGGGCCTCTCCTGCATGCACCCGGCGGCCTTGCAGCACTACGCTGCAGGGAAGAAAAGGCAAACCCCAAAGGTGTTTCCTGAACCAGGGGTCCTTCTGTGTGACCATGTGGGTACATAAAAAGGTTCGTTTGATAAAAATAAAAACAGATCGTAACTATACATTTTTACAAAATCAGTATTTGAGAAAAATAAACCTTAACTATTTCCAGTATGAAAAAAAAATACTGAAAATAACAAATTAGTACTTATACAATATAATATTTCAGGTTTACCATTTAAGACCTTTCAATACCTTTAATAATAAAGGAACTCTGAACCACCAACAGAACCTTGAATACTTCCTCTGTTTGATCTTCTGCCCCTGTTCAATTGCATTCATGAAATAGTTGCTAACATTTACTTTACATTTCCAATATGAGTTTAAAACAATCCCTGTAACTAATAAAATACTCTCCAGTTAATTCAGAATAATGAACAGTCAAAAGCAAAGTAAAACTCAATAATCAACAGTAAAATATTATAACGAGTTGACAAGCACGATGCCACAAAGATAGTGTCTGGCAAGCTGGGTTGGCTATCATAAATTTTAGCATTTTAATGCAATCAGAACTATGAGTTTAATATAATCTGTGCTTTAAATTATGATATGAATAAGGAGATGTTGAGTGTATACTTTCACATAGAGTCTTTAACCATACTTTTACAAATTTCCTTAGCCCCATAAGGGCTGATAAAGAATCCCAGGGTCCAAATAATTAACTTCCCTATTTTGAGGCAAATGTGAATTACCTTAACAAATTCATCACTCGGAATATCACAAATTCCCATGAATCAAATTATAAAATTGTCTTTTATAAAAATCTTTTATTCTATTTAGTTATATTTTCAAAAGGTAGATCTTAAATGTAATAGAAATAAAAATAGTTAAATATTTAAGAATTGCCATATAAGTTAAATGCTTCATTAATATTAAAATTGCCAATTTATTTATCTATATATGTAAAGAGATACTATATTTACACCCGTTAACATGGACTAACTTTGAAATTACTATATCATTGGATCATTGCTTACTAGTACTAGAGAATGACAAATATAACTAAATACTTGGATATGCACTGTAAAAAAAAATCACGTCCGTATATCTCTTTGACGGGTCTTCATGCATTTAACATTTCAAAACCATGACAGGGATCTTATTTCCAAGATAAATTCCCCTATCTACTTATTTCCTCATGTATTTATTGTGGCTCTAACCTTCTCCTACAAGAAACAAATAAGGAGGTTAAGTAGATACTATCTTTTAACAAATAGTTTCTCCAGATTTTATTACAACTTTATGAATGACAAAATAAATCCCTCATTTTTAAATCTACTGTGATGTACATTTAACAAAATTACATCTATGAAACCTCAATATATGTACTCTATTATTCCTATGTAATAAAAATGTTAAACTAAAGCTTGTGCCTGTCGTGAAATGACAAAAGCCAGATAACAAAGAACTAAGACCACCACTTGACTTTCAGAAAACCTCATGTGTTCTACAATTTGCTTTATGAAAATAAATAAGCTCATTCTGGCACTTAAAAAAGAACCGGTATTACCTATGTAAACTGTCCTTATAAAGATCAAGACGTACTTAACAATGGGGTGTTCTCTGGAACTACACAAATTCTGAGTCTCAAATATTCTAAAATATTTGCCTTCACACAGCAACTCAGTAAGACCTCTACCATCACCCAAGGGATCCTGGTCCTCCTGGGGACCTGCAGGAAGTCTATCACGAGGAGCCCTGGGCGAAACCTGAGCTAATAATGCATACAGCTCTATCTTGCCGGGTGAACCCTGCGAGAAGAGGGACATCAGTGTGTGTTCTGGCTGGACAGCAGAAACACCTGAATACCCACTGTCCCCAACACACTGTTCCACATAGCACAGAGAAATCAAACGAAGAGAGGAGTCAGGTTTGGCTTTCAAGGAAATTGCAGGCTACTAAGAGAAAAATCATTCACAAAAATAAACTTAATGCCAGAAAAAAAAATTAAATGCCATTATAAATTTAAAAGAAGAGCAATTACAGTGGGGCAGGGCAGATAAGAGAAGGCTTCCCAGAGGTGGCATTTAATTTAGACATTTAAAAACAGGTGACAACTGGAAATGCAGAGCTAGCTGGGAGGGTATCAGAGACGGGAGATGCACAGTCCCGGAGCTAGAGGCAAAGGTGCTGACAGGCCTCAACAGCTGTGACTCTTCCTCGCCGGCTGTGACTCTTCCTCGCCTGCCACCCCCCAAGGAGATGCCCCTCCAGCCACCAGGGATAGGGCCAAGCCCTGTGGCTTACCCTAGGCTAGATTCAATGTTTTAAATGCTTTTCTATCCCCACATGGTGGACTTTCCTGAGAGATTTCTTGCATAACTGAATTTACAGTATATTAAAGAGGTCTGTTTTGCAAAAATTCACTAGTGAAGATTGTTTTATAGGTCAGTTGAGGGATGTGCAAAGATGAATAATTAGTAATAATGTAAAGATTACAATCTGAGAGGGTAAATAACACAAGCACGCATAATATGATGGTATATGGTTCACCCATGTTCTTACGGCCCAGAAAATTGAAGCCCAGAAGAGAGAGCTGGGCTTCAATACCATCTGCAGTTCTTAGGTAACAGAGTGACTCTACAATGCTTACTACAAGTTCAAAACGCCAAACAGTGCTAACAGAATTGAAATGAAAAAGGGCAATTTCTTATCTTCCCTTTCCTTGGGCTTCACTAGATGTTTCTCTTGGATATAAAGAGATCTTAAAGGTTTCAAAAGGAAACAAAGTCACAAGCAAGAGAAATCAAAATGGATCCAGACTTCTCAAGAGCAACATGGGTAAACTCTGAATGTTCTACATAATACCTTTAGTGTCCTCTCAGCAGGCGTTTTCATTACAGAGTTCCTGGCACTGAGATGTCTGTTATGCTAAACTTGGAATAAGGCCCCTTCTCATGCACGTAGCTATGCCATGGAAGTCAATTACGAGTTAGTCTTCTAGCATAAATTTAAAAGAGTTCCTTTTTTTTTTTTTTAAGAGCCAGGGTCTTACCCTGTCACCTAGGCTGGAGAGCAGTGGTATGATCACTGCTCACTGCAGCCTCAGGACCTCCTGGGTGCAAGCGGTCCTCCTGCTGGGATTACAGGCTTGAGCCACCTCACCTGGCAGGATTTCTAAATTAAATAAGGGGTTCCTAAAATTCTAAGCACTTTTTCTAGTATTCTCAAAATATTTATGAGAGGTTTCTTTCTTCACTACTATGTGCGTTGTTTTTTTCATTAGCACCCTACTAAATGTGGGCTGACTCTGGCCTTAGCTCACCTACCTGCTAAAATCAGTGAGCAGAGGTGCAAGCCAGGGTGTTCAGCACATGCCAAGGTATTCCTTCTCTGAAATTCTCTCATTATATGATTGATAACAGAGTCAAAATGAAAATCCACATCTTTAGACTGAAAATTTTGAAGACAGAATACTAAATATCCTCATTGTCAGCTCTATGACAATAACTAGAAACTCTCACCTGGTGTTGCTAGATGTCATGAATAAAGTTAAAGAATAAGTAGGGAACTGAATTATGATTATAGGATTAATAGCACTGTCCTAATAGATATTTTGGCCTCAGAGAAACTCTGTGTTAGAGCATTTTTCTATTTTTGAATGTCTAAATATCAGACAAGTTATGTCAAAATATATAATGTGTAATTTCAGTTATATCTATAACCTTATGTTTCCACATTACTAAGGTAAGTATCCTAAAAAGGTGGCTTTTTATTCATCTTCTTCAAAATACATTATTAAATGTTATTTAAATTTTTTATATCCTTTAGGCAAAGTATTAATTCTGCTATTAAAAACTTAATGAAAAATAGGCACACATCTCACATATATAAAGACACAGGTATTTTAATAAAAGTGGTTTATTATTTTATTTTTTACCAGTAAGAGGAGTCACTAGTATATCTTTTCTTTTTTTTTTTTTTCTTTTTTTTTTTGAGACTGAGTCTCGCTCTGCCACCAGGCTGGAGTAGAGTGGCCCGATCTCAGCTCACTGCAACTTCTGCCTCCCAGTTCAAGCGATTCCCCTGCTTCAGCCTCCCAAGTAGCTGGGACTAGAAGCACGTACCACCACGCCTGGCTAATTTTTTGTATTTAGTAGAGGGTTTCACCATGTTGGCCACAATGGTCTCCATCTCCTGACCTCGTGATCTGCCTGCCTCGGCCTCCCAAAGTGCTGGGATTACAGGTGTGAGCCGCCGTGCCCAAAAAATATCTCCCCCATTAAAATTTAAACAATCTTAAATATCCGTCAGGTTGTGAGTAGACAAACAATGAATTTAATCACAGAATGGAATATTATAATACAGTGAAAATGAATAAACTAGGGCTACATTTATTAGTATGGGTTTTTAAAAATCTCAAAAAGGTGATTGTATTAAAAAACAAGTTGGGTGTGAAACTGTATCATTTATATAAAATGTTGCAACAAAATAAACAGTATTAAATATGTAAACCTAGGTCGTCCATGTGCAAAAGCAGGAAGATCTCACCACTGATCAGCCTGTGGAGGGGGGCGGGGCGGATGCTGAGGAGGGGGGCGGGGCTGACGGCAGCACAGTGCTAACTGTAGTTCTAAAATTTTGTTTCTAAAAAGAAAGAACTCTCCAGCCTGACCAATACAGTGAAACCCGGTCTCTACTAAAAATACAAAAATTAGCTAGGCATGGTGGCACGTAACTGTAGTCCCAGCTACTCAGGAGGCTGAGGCAGGAGAATCGCTTGAACCCAGGAAGCAGAGGTTGCAGTGAGCTGAGATCACACCCCTGCACTCCAGCCTGGGCAGCAAAGTGAGACTCTGAGACTCTGTTTCAAAAAAAAAAAAAGAAAGAAAGAAATCTGTAATAAATATGACTATATGTTAATATCTTCCAAAGTGTTTATTTTTGAAAATTTTTGTAATTCAAAATATTTTAATTAAGACAATCAAATATTTCTTAACTTCTCTATATGATAACTTGGACCAGTCTTTTCAAATTAGTATATGAGACAAACTCATATCTACAAAAACCACACCAGTGGGAAAGATCTGGTATGTTCCAAATGAAATTTTAATAAAAGAGTGAGCTAAATTTTATCAAAGTATTTAAAAATTATGTGGTCACTATCCTCTAAAACTGTGACAAAAATGTGTTGATTGACTAAAAATTACTGTAAAACTACACTAATGTTAAAAAAAAACTGACAGGTATTGCTTATCCTTTTGAATAAACAAAATATAGAACTATGAAAACAATGCAAGATTTATATAATTCCTAGCAAAACAGCTCAATGTACTAACGAAGTTTATAACAATTTCTAAGTTGCTCAAAGACTTCCAATTCACAGGCAGTTTCTTTGAAATAAAAGCCTTCTTTTTTCAAGATAATAATTTAATAATTATATGATAATATACTAAGAGAGGGAATGAAAATGAAGTGGTCTTTGCCTAGAAGGGTTCCCACCTGAATTTCTTCAGAGCTGCAACTGTATCTGAAAACAATCACTTCTGTGAAGAATGCAGCACACAGAAGGCACACAGGGACGAGCACTGCCGACCGGCCACCATGCCCAACTGACTCACAGGAGCGCCGTGTGCTTAGAAAGTGTCCCAAAAGACCAGAAAGCAAAATGAAGACACTCACAAAATCCTGCCACAGCAACAAATTCAGTATCTATAAGCATCATAATTGTGAGATACTTAAAGTATTTTGGGTCCAGGAAACATCTGAGTGAAATTACAATACTGCTTGTAGACTTTAAGCACACTTTCATACAACACAGACACTAGAACCACATTAAATATACCCAAATAATTCCATAGTAACCTGTTCACCATATTTCTATGGAGTTTCAAAATACTATATATCGTGCTTAAATTCAACATGCAACGTTAGATGGAAAATAAAAATTTCCCAATACTGTCTAGAAATTTAATAATCAAAAAGGTACTCTAATAGCTAAATAACAGTAACTGTGATAAGACCACAGTCATCTTTGACCATTTCCTTCTAAACATTTGTGTGTGTACGTGTGTGTACAAAGGCTAAATAAAAACCTTGCTCAATGAATGAAGTTACATCCAGACACCAAAAATGTTCCATGATAATACTAATATCTAGATCATTTAAGTTAGACTAGACTTTGAGAGTTCCTTGTTTCAGATTATATATAAAATGTGAGCATAATTCGTATTAAGAAGCCACAAAGACCTAAGAATAGAAAGGTTTCATTTACTAAATTCAACTCTAAGGCTCTAGTGTGGCTTCAAGACGAAAGTTGAAAAACCTCCCCTGAGGGCTTTTAAACAGTTCACCAGGGAGCCTCCTACTTAAGCCAAGAGTCTTGAGCACATTTTTGCCCTGAACAGGTGATAATTAGCCTAATTAACAGGCTAGATCCTTGTTAACTAGTTGGAAAAGAAAATTAACCTCACTCATGCCAAAGACTGTCATTTTTATACCTCTTAACATATCACTCAGGTTCTAAAAGCTGTGAAACATATTTTTCTAGCCCTTTCAATTCAATTCAAGGGTTAAAAAGCTTTTTGTCAAAATAACTTCTGGGAGGAGCATTAAGCAGAATATTAACCCCAGGCTGCCTCAGTCTACTAAGAACCAAGAGAATGACTCATTCTAAAAGAAAACATTCAAGGATTACAATTGCTGTGCCCTCAAAGACTTGATTTCATCTTTCAAAATCTCTGCTATGAAATTTTTCTTTGTCAAAGAGACCATCAACTCTGGCCAACCAAATTAATTTTAGCTGAAATTTTCCCCAATATACCACACACTATGCATCCAATACTCACCAGCACAATAGTATCTTAGATCGGGGTTAGGAAACTGTGTAAAGGACCAGATAGTAAATATTTTCAACTTTCGTGGTCATAAGGTCTTTGATACAACTACTTAACTCTGCTGTTGTAGCACAAAAGCATCATAAACAAATCAATGTGGCTGTGTTCCAATAAAACTTGACAGAAACAGGCAGTGGGCCTACTCTGGCCTGGAAGCTGCAGTTTACCAATTGCTGGATTGGATGAAAGTTCAAATCCCCCCACTTCTGCCCCTAAAAAAACCCCATCTATACAGGGTAAAAGAACCCACACTGAATGTTGTAGGCACACAAAGGTCCATTAAGCCCCATTCTCAGGGTTCAAGAAGTTGGTTTAGTTCTGAACTTATTCATGTTTCTTGCACAGCTTTAAAACTTCAACATGAGAAGAACAGGTGGAAGGAATTATACTGCATATGAGACCCATTCCAGTCAGAGGCTGCCCTGTCCTTTTTAAAACTACCCCCTTTCAACTGTATGGCAGGGCTGCAGGGCTTGGAAAGTTGAAACAATTTTAACTAACCATAGAAGTCAAGTCCTGGAGAATAAGACATATATTAAACTGCCACAGTTCTCTAGTCTGAGCTAAATGAAATTTTATTGCTTCAGGTTAGGTAAAAAGCCACTGGATTTATGTAAGGAAAGTTAAAATAATAGTTACTAATATTGGACTAATATTACTATTTAAAGAACAAATAAAGGGAATTTCTTTTAAGTCATCATTCTTACTGATATACATAATTTGAGCTAAAAAGATAAAATGTATTTCAATCCCCACTTACACCTTCATTCCAAATGCCTTAATTTCAATCTTTGGACATTTACTACACAATCCTAACCATCTTCAAATTATTATAGTTCAGCTACTTCTCTATCAACCAACCAATAAGAAATTATGTTTGGGGATTTACTGTGTGTCTAGCAATGATCCATGCTATGTAGAAACCTATAAATAAATAAAATACATCTATTCCTCCCCAAAAGGATCCTATGATTCAATGGTCAACACTAATGTCACTGAAATAATGAGAACATCAGAACCCCACAGTATGTGGGACTTTTGAAAAAGCTCTAAAAGCTGTTCAGAAAAAGGGTCAATACACATAGATTGAAATAGTTGAAAAAGGCTTCACTGTTAAGGTGGGGCTTCAGACAAGTCTCAAGGACAGAGCCAAGTGGTGTGATGGAAACAGCAGCGACTGAGACAAGCTCTGGGGCCCAGGCAGCCAGGTGGTATGCAAGAGCAGTGAGCCAACCATGCTGACGGGGGTTGTGGGGGAACAGGCTACATAGGACGAGCAATCAAGTTGCACAATTTTAAAAGTCAGATTAAAATGTTCTTGATAATTAAAGAAGTTTGGCTTTGGTATATATGACAAAAGCAACCAACAATCTCTTCTTTGTTTTTCGTTCTTTTTCTTTCCTATCATTCTTCGTGCTTGCTTTTCACAATTATTTAACTATAATTTTCTAAGGAGCTAAATGCAGCCTTATCTTTCCCAGGTGCCCATGATCAGAAAGATACAGTACATATGCATACAACCCACAAATATGTGTATGTCTATGGAAAAACCTCCTATAACAATGCCCTCACCCAAGATTTATGATGACATCGTTCTAACATGTGGCCAAGTAATGTACTAAACAGCATGTTAGCTATAGCAATGCTGCTGTGCTTCAAGCTATATACCTACACATGATACAAAATGTCATTTCAGAGAGCTGAGAACCTCTGTTTCCTTTGCATGTCAATGGAAAATGTTTTAATAACTTTTAAGATGACATTATTTTAAGATGACTATTCACAGCATTAGAATGAATTAACAAATATAACTACGATGGATTTTATCCATAAACCAAAAATAGGCTTACAGAAAAAAGAAAAGTATAAATAAAAAGAAATCAACTACAAAGTCAACTCTAGTAACATTATTTTCTTTTACATTTCAACATACTAAACAATATACTAAACTGGCATATTAATGGAAGCTATGAATAAAACCTGTCCCAATTCAACTTATTATCACAGTCTAACTCATCAGGAAACTGATATGCAGAGTTTGGAAAAGCCCTAGTAAGGAATTTATACTGTACTGATATAATAGTATGGCTAGAAAATATTTCATTAATATTACTGTATAAAATTTTACTAGTAAAAACATACATTATGGAAAAACACGGTATATCTGCATAGAATCAACTATCCCAAACCCTTTACTAATAAACCCGATGGTTTCATAAGAACAGTACTGCTCAGTTCATTTCATGCCACAGGTTCAGAAATCACATTTGCAGTCAGATACTCATGCTGGTGAGGAAAAAGCAGCTAGTAAGTGTCTGGCCTTCGGCAGCCTCTCAGAGCCTCAGAAGGACCATGGAATTTTTATTCCTGGTATGTATTCGAGTCAATATTTCTACAACATTGGGCACAGGACACGTGTTCAATTTTGCATTATAGTCCACATCATCAGTGCTCTATAAATATAAATTAAGATAACTATTCCACAAACTGTTTAAAACAGCAATAAGAAAGTCATAGTTTCTTGCCAGCAATTCGTGCCAGGTCAAACTCTCCAGAAAAGGTCTATCGTATATCGTATAGTTTACAAACAGTAGCAGTTTTCTAAACAAAGTTAATATGCCAAAGACAACACGGCTGATCATAAGTAGTGTCTGCATTAGACACAAAACACATGGGATTTAAATTTATTAACACTAGAATCCTGTTAGAACCATTAACTGACACCAGTGTATTTAACTCTCTGACCTTGGGACATTAGTTAAGGGATGACAACCATCACTATTTATTGTTAATCTGTAATGTGATTTTATGCAAGATTCAAACTATGGTGGATTAAATTTCTTCCTTTTTTTTTTTTTTTTTTTTTTCGGGTAGACACAGGGTTTCACTATGTTGTCAAGGCTGGTCTCAAACACAGGGGCTCTAGGGATCCTCCAGCCTCAGCCGGAGTAGCTGGGACTACAGGTACATGCCACAAGGCCCACTTTTACACTAAATATCAATGAATAAAATAATAAATGAATAAAATAATATAATGAATAAAATAAAATAATATAATGAATAAAATATAATGAATACAATAAAATGAATAAAATAATCAATGAATAAAATAATATTTCTACCGAACAAGTGGAAATTCCATACAAATAATTTTTTAAATTATATATATATATTATTTCTCACAAAATTGATTCTGGTAATACCCAGAAGTGTTTCATAGACTCATACAACTGATATACAATCAAATACGCTATGTTTGCAACTTATCCTATAGGTCTTTATGTATCTATTATGGATACATAATTTCAAGAAATTTGAGTACATATGCTAGATTTAGAATGGACTGTCCTCTCTGATGGTGACTGTGTGTGATTTGCTGCAGTTAGGAAGGGCAGCTTTCCACACTTAGGCATTTCATTGTCTTGGACTTTGTCATCATCTCGGCCTTCTAGCATGTCAGGATGATCTAAGGAACCATTTGAGCTCAAGGTAAGATTAGCTAGAAAGGTTGAGATGTATTACCCAGTAATCCCAGAGTTCAGTACAAAATTGACCCTTTCAGAGACCTTAGTCCAAAGAGCCGCAGTTACACTACACTTCTAGAGTAAATATCTTGGGGCATTTGTGCACTGGAGCATCACCAAGATGCGATTTTAGTGCAGTAGACCAATTCAACATAGACACAGTAGAACCCGACATAGATCACAGCCTGCTCTAAATCATAATATTCTGACATGCAGACATATTGAAAGATCATGTTGTAGGGAGTTATTTGTTCCTTGGTAAATCGTAAGTTCAAGGGAAAATACAAAGATTGAATTAACATAAAAACAAGTTTTATGGTTTTAAAGTTAAACTGTGATGCAACTGAGAATAAGTAGTTAATAAAATACTATCAAGTTTTTCACTGTTTCTGACACATGCCTCCACTAAGCAATGTCTTTGAGGTAACTGGCAATGAAACACAAATAAAACTAGAGAATACACACATATGTGAGGTATCATTGGGAAAAACCTCATAGAGCAAGCAATTACATATTAATTTAGCGTACTTTCACTACAAAAGAAATTTATTTTTAAAATTGGATGTGTGCAATTATGAATTTTTTACAAAACAGATTTGCAGATTTAATCTACTTCTCATATATTCTAAGTTATTTTGAAAAGATAAATTCAGATAGACATCAATAAATACTGGATATAGATCATTTATACTAATTTTTCAATACCTGCAACAAAAGGCCATGTGGAATAACATTATCATTTATTATGTACCTTCCAGCATTCAAAATATTAAACTAAGTTTCTTTATAATATTATTAAGTGCATAATCAAAACTGACTGGAAGGATGTAGGTGATAAAATATATTTATATTTGGCATTAAGTATAGTGTTAGGGAAGCTAACATAAACATACAGAATTAACTGAAGCTATCAAAATGAGGTTAACAATTAAAGGGACTTTTTCAATTATGGGCAAGGAAAGAATAAAAATGAAAGTTAAATCGCTTGCTAGTTTAGATATTATGATAAAAAGAAAACAAAACCACACAACTGTTTACATTGCTACTGTCTCTCTTTTTAAAACATTTTTCAGATGGAAATGAACTGATGTCCAAGAAATTACACACACACAAATGACAACTCCTCTTTTGGCTCTGAGAAGGAAAAGCAGTGAAAGTGACACCAGGGTCAGCTCTGAGCGTTGGCCAAGTACCTGGCCAGGTGCCTAAGGAGAGTCCCAGGTGAGTGGTGAGTACAGCATCTGCGCAAAGATAGGAGCAGAGGCTTCAAGAGATGGTTCAAGTATTCACAGATGCAGGGAACTCATATTAATACATCCCCCTATGGAGCTGACAGCTAATTATAGATATTGTTCATTACAATTAAAGAATCTTCTCTTAGCAGTGAGTAACAACACAATCACCATATTATAGGACATGGTTCTAGGTGCTCAATGGAAAAAATATGTCAACAAACTTTAGAGACCAGACAGGCTTTCTCTAATGCCCTATCTTTGCTTACGATTTCACTTGTATTTTCTACATTACGCAAGCATCCTCATCTTATTGTGATCTTATTTGCCACTCACAAGTTGATACAACACTGCCTCATAAACATTAACACTTCAATTATTTTCTACTTTCATATTCACACACTCCCTAAATAATTCGAAATAATGCAAGGTAATATATTTTGATTTTCATTCTTTGGTATCATTTACAGTGCCTATCAGTAAGGTCATAAAAATTATGGATTAAGAAATGTTCATAAAACTCAATAATTTTACATAATTAAATTTTATCAAAGGCTCAGGATGTGAAGAGAAGTGTTCTGATAAGTTATGTTCCCAATGACATATTCAAAACTGGAAACCAAACTGCTTGAAGGAGGTCATGCCACAGAAGTGCAAGGGATACCAAGTCTGACACCACCTCAGCTGTGTGACAGTGGCAGCTTACTTGTTTTTTCAGCCTTAATTTCTACATGTCAGTCGAGTTAGAATAAATTATCTTCGAAGTATGATCCAATAATAAAACCCTATAATTCTAATTTCCACTAACCTTATACCAAATCCAGTCCTAGGATAAGGTGTAGTACGACTCTCAAACTTCTGAAGGCATGTTACCAAAGGTTATGCCTCTCCAGAAGAAGAAGGAAGGGTTCTAACGAAGAGTAATCAAAGAGTAATCTTTGAAAAAACTAATCAATCTATGTGGCTGCAGCCCAACCAACCATCATAATTAGTGAACAATTCTATCTCAGTCATATTTCCTGCCCATAGAGTCTACATGCACTCCAAATGCTATTTAATTATCCTCAGGAATAAAGAGACCTGACTTGCAGGAGACAGAGGTTTGAATGTTTCTTTATTATTTAATTTGTCTAAGATAGTTAAAAAAACAAAAAAACAAAAATAAGAAAATAACATTACAATAAATTACACTGCCAGGCATAACTTTATAATACTATAAAACCAGAGGTTCAGATATGCAAAGGTGGTGGAATAGTAACAGCAAAAGAATAGAGAATACATGCTGTAGCCAACACCCCAATTAGGTTCCATCATGCTTACATACAGTAGGTGCTCAATTATTAAACTGAAAAGTCTCATCTAAAATTGTGAGACTAGAATAGAAAAACATAATAGAGTTGTTATCTTCAGTAAAATAACTTCTGGTCCTTTAATTCGCTGCAGTCTGAAAAATCCTTAATAAAAAGATAGTAGCAATATAAAGAATGGTTTTGTTTTCCTTTCATAAAATCTAGACTAGCAACTAGTCAAATAAAAGGAGACTTATGGTGTATAAATAACCAAAAGATAAGGACAAAACATTCCACTGGAATTCACATGATGCTATTCACAAAAACAAAAGAGCTAAGAACTGGAGGTGGTAAAAGACAGAAGAAACACTTGTCCTCATGTTGACAAACACCTCATGGAATATGTAGAGATGTGTGTTGTATATCTCCCCAAATTTCTAATATTCTGCATAGCAAATAAGTTTATATTAATTACTGATATTTATTATTCTTCAAAATAATACGCAATCAAGCACTAAGGAATACATACAATGTCACTTACAAGCAGAAGAGGTGGAAGTATGAAATACCTAGAAAAAAAACCCAAGTGAGCCGGGTGCGGTGGCTCACACCTGTAATCCCAGCAATTTGGGAGGCCGAGGTGGGAGGATCACCTGAGGACAGGAGTTCAAGACCAGCCTGGTCAACATGGTGAAACCCCATCCCTACTAAAAATATAAAAAATAGCCGGGCGTAGTGGTGTGTGCCTGTAATCCCAGCTACTTGGGAGGCTGAGGCAGGAGAATCACTTGAGCCTGGGAGGCGGAGGTTGCAATGAGCCAAGATCGTGCCACTGCACTCCAGCCTGGGCAATAAGAGCAAAACTTCATCTCAAAAAAAAAAAAAAAAGTGAGAAATAATGAGAAACTTTTCCTCTGGGGAACACAGGCAAAAATATTAACACATTTTAATTACTATAAAGTAAACAAGTCCTCTGACTGAATTCTAACTTTTACCTGAATTAACACAGATCTGACCAGGGACTAACAGGATGAATAAGAGTTGGCAAAAAGGGAAGCAAAGCTGAAGAAGAAAAACTTCAGAATTATCAAATTTTAGGATGTATGATTCTAAAATAAATTTATTTGACAATTTGGGAGATTTGACTCTGACAAGTGACAAAACCAATTAAAATTTGACAAATTATGTGGACCCACTATCATGTATTAAAGTAATAAATAACTTCGATACAGTACTACATAAATGCATTTTATATCTTGGTACTTCGGCAAACAAAACAAAAAGATAGCTACAGCTTTATAGTAAAAACAGCAGAACTGCAATTATACATTTATTCTATAAGGTTAACATCAGGGTTTCATAAATGTATGATTTAATTTTTTTTTATTTCTCTCCTATCACTGTTGTTAAAATTCTCAGAAAAACATTTGGCTGCTCCCAGACATATCTGGCTACTTACAGCATCTGTAGACCCAGGGAACTGTGTGTGCCACACTCGATCCAACGTGCAGCCAGCTTTCCTGAGTGAGAGCTCTGGCGTGTGTTCTGTAAAGTTACCGGTCATAAAATACTCTGCTCTAGGACCTAGGTTTCCTCACTGCTTAAAATAACCAACAATGTTTCCATCCATTATTTGTAGTTAACAAAGGAATTATGTATTGGATAAAACCAAAATGAAGATTTTAATAACAAATTTAAACAATTTTAGAGAACTTTTAAAGAAAATTCCTAAAGTTCTAAGTCTTATCCAGTGGGTATCAAAGAAAATACTATTCACAATTAATATCTAATGAAATATTAATCTTTAAATCATGGAAAGATATTCTATTCTCACTAAGCACCTATGAAAACACTGAATTAATCTGTAACTCTATGTGACTTGAAAGTCATAAATTCAGAATTAAAAACTTCAATTTATCCTCAAGAGTAGGATTTAATTTACAGATTCATAGTTAAATATCCATATTCACAAAATCATTACCATTTACAGTAAGGAAATAATGAAATAAAAATATTTTTTAAATGAAAAACATGAAAGGGTATTGAATATAACACGAATATAAAAGTCAATGAAATAACTAAATATATATAGCAGTACAAACATCCTAAGAATTCAAAGAAGATACCCTTTGGGCACAATTATTCAATCGTTATCGATATGGTAGGCTACTCGTTCCTAGAAGCTATAATTAGATACAATGTATTCTATCCATTTCCTTCAGATGTAAAATAACCAAGCTAAATAAAGTTATTCCTGTCCTGAATATGTTGTCTATTCTTTTAGTTGAAAGCAAACGTCGAGTAAATTCCTATTTATCTCCTTGCCAATCAAGGAATGAGTGACTGACACTAACATAGCCTTATCTGGGCCTTCTGTCTGCAGCACATTCCGCTAAGTGATGTCATTGCTCTAGCAGACGAAAATAAGCAGATTATTACAGTGACTAGAAGCAAACTAAACATTTGGATTTTTGCATGGACAGATTTACACACTGTCTGTCAGATAAAGCACAGTTTGCCTGCTGCTTACACAACAAGAATGTGCCTGACAGCTTCCTCCCAGGTTTAGTATCTGATTACATAAATAGGCCATTCCCCACCATTCCTGAAGACTGACAGTCTGTCTTAGCTTAAAGTGCAATTTTGGACTATCAGCTTTTCTGTCTTGCACACTAGGCTGATTAACATCAGAGTACTTGCTGGAGGTCCAATCAGGTTTTCCAACCCTAGGATTACAGGCCATATAAAAAGAGGCGGACACAATGGGTGGGGAAAGGTGACTGCTCCCAAGGTACATTTTTAAGGCTCAACCATTTTAACACACTTATTCATGTGTCCATATTTGTAGTACGACCTCAGAAATCATTCAGAAATAAAGCTAAATAGCTTTATTTATAAAATATGAAACACAATCACACAAAACATAATGGTAATACATAAGTGTTACTATTTTTACAGCTGCCATGTCTTATAATGAATATTTTTGCAATAGTCCATTAAATGAATGAAATGCCAATGACTTATCACAGTCCTAAAAAACCGTAACACTGAGATGAAAGAATGCTGAAAAAGTCATCTGGTATTAATTAACCTACTTCTTATCCCCACTATGATACCCAAAACAAAAATTACAGAATTAACACACTGGTACGGTTTGATGAATCTAAAAACATGGTTTAAAACTTACTTTGGCAGCAACAAAAATGTTAGTAGAAAGATAATGAGTAAATTGTATCTGTATAAATATTATGAACTTGCTGAAAATAGACGATTTCATTTTTTGCTTGTCTAAGACATAATAATAATAATAATAATAATAATAATATAGAGGTTCTGCAATTTAGTATCTAAGTTACAAATTATTCTGGGTCAAACTTTAGTTATTTAACAATTACATACTTCTCAACAAATATAGGCATGTGATTTTCATACAAATAAAAGCATTCAAAGTGGTCTGGGTGATGGAGACCTATGAATTTTCTTCTTCTTCTTCTTCTTCTTCGTTTTTTTTAAGAGATGGGGTCTTGCTTTGCTGCCAAGGCTAGAGTGCGATGGTGTAATCATAGCTCACTGCATCCTTGAACTCCCAGGCTCAAGGGATCCTCCTTCTGGGAAGCTAGGTTCACAGGCACGCACCACCACACCTGATGGATTATTTTATCTTTTAAAAGAGACAGGGTCTTGTAATGTTGCCCAGGCTGGTCTCAAACTCCTGGGCTCAAGCAATCCTCCAGCCTCGATCTCCCAAAATGTTGAGATTACAGGCGTTAGCCACTGTACCTGGCCATATTCTCTTTTAATAAGACAAAGCTAGGCAGTAGCCATGAAGGGAGTATTGAATATCTTAACTGTGTTGAGAGGACACCATTTGTTTCTCGTTTTCTTAGGTATGACACTATTTGTGAGCTACTGGAAGGAAAAAAGTTCAAGTATCTCTACTATTAATTTATCAATTAAACAAACATCTTTTAAACATCTACCATGGGGCCAGGTCCTATCCTGTGTTCTGGAAATACAAAGATAAATAGGACACAGGGCCTATCCTCCAGGTACATAAAATCTGATAAGGAAAAGAGACAAGCAAACACATAAATAACATCTCAAAGTAAGTAATTTATCTTTTCACAGATAAATGTATTTTTTAGATTCAAATGGCAATCTATTCCAATATCAAGCAATTCTCCTTCTCAGGACAACGCTGTGAAACCTATCCTATACTTTCTCATGAAAAGATTTGCTTCCTCCTTAATTATCTTTCTACTTTCCTACAAAAATCCATCTCGAGTTAAATTAATGATTTTATGAAACACAGGTCTGAACATTACACACATATAAAACCTACATACAGCTAAAAACTGACCTGTGCTCTCTGGTTTCCTTTCAGAACTGCCCCACATTTGATCTTTCCAGTGTTACACGTTAAATACTAACATTTAGCTGAAAACGTCTGACTGCCTAACACTATAATGTATTTCTAGTCTTTTTCATTTGTTTCTAGACACCAGCATTAATGAACTGTGATAGAAACAGTTTTGGGAATCACAAAGGGTGATGTTACTTATAATGGTAAACAATTAGAAGTCATAAACACAATATTGTTTCTAGTAATTTCAGCTATAACTTTCAACATGCGTACCCAGACAAACCAGATGAAATATGTTGCTTCAGGTCAGCTCTGATGGATCCCTCAGAAATATCAGCATTATTGCTTTTATTTTATTATGTACCACACTTCATAACCGTACACTGCGGAGTACAATAAAAACTCCACTACAGAGCTTGAGTACTTATTAAACAGGTCAAAAGTTACCATAACAAATAACTCGCTGTACTCAGGGGCCATTAATAACGTATCTTGTTGCTCAGATAAGGAAATTTTTTAAAAAAGACAAAAAAAAAAGGGCAAAAAGGGAAAAATGCAGAACAATCTGAAATTGTTAATGTGTCTGATTGTCCTTTCCTGATCTCCTTTAACCCTTTCCTTTTCCAGTTTCTTTCATAGGGATTTGAAGCACATGCTCAACATTATTGGTCATATATTAATATTTTTCTTGAATCTAGAAATTTATTGCTATATGTTTAAGCATATGCCCAACAATTTTGAAAGAACTACATGAAACATTGAGATCAATAAGGAAAAGTGGAAGATGACTGAACAGGGCAGAAAGGTCACAGTCCACTAGGATCTGCAAGCCTCGAGAAGTGATGGTCACCAACAGCCCCCAGACTGCGTCCTCCACAAGAAACAGCTTACACAAGTACTACCTGTTCCCTCAAAGATTATATCAACTTACAGAAAACAAATTCATGAAGGGAATGCCAAATTCAAGCTATACTAAAAAGCCAGCCAGTGACTATTTTTCAGGATAGGTAGTATGGCTACCATTTGGCTGTACAAAGTAGATGCTTTCTATAAATACAATCAGCTGAATCTGAAGATGACCACTGCAACAGCAAAATAGAAAACAATAAGTAAGAGGAGGTTAATACAAAAACAAATTATATTGATGGTACCCATAGGAAATATATTTAAAATAAAAAATATTTACAGAAAAGGGGGTGTTAATACGTGGACATTCATTATTTCTGTCATGAGGAAGGCAGGCAGGAAGGCAGGAAAAAAGGAAAGAAGGAGGGAGGGAAGGGAGGGAGAGAGGAAGGGAAGGAGGGAGGCAGGGAGGGAAGAAGAGAGGGAGGGAGCAAAGGAAGGGAGGAAGGAAGGAAAGGAGGGGAAGTAGGAAATGAAGGAAGGAAGGGAGGAAGGGAAGGAAGAGAGGGTGGGAGGGAAGGAAGGGAAGGAAGAAAGGGGAGAGGTAGAAGGAGTCAGGGAAGGAAGCAAAGGGAGTCAGGAAGGTGGGGAAGGAAGGGGAGGGGAGGGGAGGGGAGAGGAGGGGAGGTGAAGAAAGGGGAGGGGAGGGGAGGAAGAACAGCCAGACAACCAAAACACAATACCAAGGAAAGGAATGACACCACAAAGAGATATCATAAGATACATTTGCCATCAACATAAAATATAACCAAATATAATCAAACAATAAAAGTACATGGACAAAAGGATTCAAGTACTCAGTACTTCATTAATTTAAAAAAAAGCTACTTTATGAACTCATAATTTTCACATAATTACAAACTATGATATTACTATAAGGCAAATTCACCTTCTTACAAGTATTTTGATGAGAATTTCTGAAGTATTATATTTATTTCTTAAATAATTACTGACAATGATCTGATTTTTTTTTTAGAATGTGTTATCCATTTTCCATCACAAGAATCAAAAGATTTAAAATTAAACTTATTTATGAGTTACAGATTTCCCCAGAGCCTAGCCTAGTGCCTAGCACCTAACAGGTGCTCAATAAATTCAAGGAATTAAAATAAATTGATTTGTTTCCTTACTTTGGTTTATCAGAAAGTTAACCATCTATAAAATACTTGTAAATATTAAGGAAGAATATGAAATAATTCTCAAAAACTATTAAACATAGTCCAGAAGTATGGTTATTCCCCCAAAATTAGCAGAAGAAAACAAATTATTCATAAATCACATTAATCAGTGCTGTGTTAGCCATCTGAAACACGTCGAATATCAGCCTCTGAAGTGCCTGTGAATAGTCATTGCTGCTGGTGTACATGAAACGCTGTAATTGGTTTAAATCGGCCTTGCCCATCTGTCTTTAATACTCTTATTACAAGGCAGTAAGCAGAGAACTATTAGAGCTGCAGTATACGCTGTAAGATCTTTACCCGTTCTTAAATCATTTAAAAATAATGAGAGCTTTAGCCTTTATCTAATTAACGAGTGCCTTCTTTGAATTAGAAAAACTGTATCATTTAGCCCACGGTTGTTTAGTAAATTGGCTTGGTGGCATGTAAGCTAACGCAGGATAGCAGTTCCAGTGTCTTGTTCCTGGCTTCTTATTACTTGAATTATAATTCAATGATCACCTTAGATCATGGGCTATTCATAAATCAGAAGCCTGACATCAGATGAAAAATTGTATTAATATATGAAACTTATTATATAGTACAAACTGCTCTCTTGATAAATTACATTGTTCAAACTTGACAATGATTGCATTTAAAACATTATTCCTGTTTGCTGTTTTACAGACTGAAACCTCTTCATGAAAAATTTACAATGCTCCTCTGTGTTTTGGAGTCAGAGGGCAATAGTAGCAAATGGCAGACAGAAACCATACTTTAGATTTGCTGGCAGCTACAGAGGACAGAAAACACTTCCAAGGATGGGAAGAAAAACCCTCAGCTGCATCCCCAGGTTCTACATTTCTGGCTTTATAAAGATACTAATTGTCCTCACCAGCAGAAGCATAGTAAATAATAAAATTTTAATTTCAGCTTACTAGATTGCTTTCTTCTCCTATATAGGTGTTTCAAAGAAATTTATAGTCATAAATGTTTCACAGGAATTTATAGCGTGAGAGGAAAAAATAAAGGGGCAAACCCATGAAGTTTAATTTGAATTGGGGCCGAGCTCCTTAGATGATGCGTTGTGACAAATGCTTTTGCCAAGGCTGACTGGGTAACTCAAGCTGTATTCCATATTATTTACATTAATTACATGAAGGCTGCTTTGTTAATGGTACATTCTGGTGTGGGTCGCAGCATGATATGCTAATGATCTAAGAAAAATCTGCATCTCCAATATTTATGATAATTTGTAATAGAAAATAGGGTTGCTTTTATTTCCTTCTCCTCACTGGAACAAAAAAAGTCCGAACAAAACAATTTTATTCAGAGAAGAAAGGGAAAGTTCTAATCGCCAAGACATGTAAGTGTTGTAAACAAAAGGGAAGACTCTCTTATTGTTAGGGCTGTTGTCACAGCCTTTGACAAAGTGATAATACGGCAGCTCTCTACACGCCTTTCAGTGTGAGGTGTGTATCAAGTCAAATTGAATGGGATAAAGCAAAAATGTAAAGTATAACTTCCAACACCAAATAATCTCTCCTGTTGTTAGGTGTTTCCACCCTCCCTCTTCACAGCTACCCCCAACAAGAATTCAGATAAGCTTCAAACAAACAGTTAATTTACAATAAGTTGCATGCATTATACAAGAGGCCAGAAGATATTTGCTAGAGGATATTTGCTATTTTTACAAAACCCATTGCAACTTTTGAGAAATCTTATGGTGGAAATGTACAACCCCAAGATTATGAGTGCAAAAACATAATCTGTATGTATTAAATATCAGAACATTTTATTCATATTGTTATTCTTTTAAATTATTTTGAAATTTATGAAACACTAAAAGTAATAGTAATTTCACATTATGGCTTTTGGGAATATGAAAACTAAGAGATAAAAGGTTCAAAAAAATATTGGATATTGGATTTAAAAGTACCAAGCTTTTGTGATTATTACTGTTAAATTATGCTACATGTATCTTCCAACGACTGTTAAACAATTTTAAACATACGTTTTGCTTTATTATTATGGATCACATTTTGAAAATCCTTCTTTAGCAATAAGCATCAACAAAGCTTTAGCATGATAAAGTTAATGTGTTTTCAAATCAATAGTGGCCTATTGAAATAAAAGCTCCCGTAGGTATGCACCCTAGCCTACAAAATAGAACAAACAATCTTAGCAAAACCAATAGATCTGATGGTTTGCAAATGTCTTGTACTGAGGCCAGAGCCCAAATTCTAAAGCATCAGTGAAACTAAGCACAACTTATTTATAGGTTGAGTTATTAAGTCATTTCCATTTACTAACAGAATAAGTTTCCAAAGAAATATAAAATATTTTTTAGAGAACACATAATGGTGTGTTCTAAAGACTGGAAATTGAAAACTATATATAGATTGAGAATAAAAATGCCTAACAAGAAAGAAATATTTCACTAATCTATAAGTTAGTACTAGGTTTCAATAATCTATGTTTAATATGAGAAACAGAAATCTGGACAGTGGTCAGCTCTGGGGAAATGAAAAGGATGCAGCCAGAGAGAAGCCCGCAGAACACTTCAAAGGCAGCGGTTCGGGTGCATGTCTTAAGCTGCATGGGTGCTATAAGGTTGTTTCTGTCATTATTCTTGATACTATATATATAGGCTATGTGTGTGTGTCTGTGTAGTGCATTGGGTGTGTAATATATATTGTTGTATGTATGAAATATTTGATTATTAAAAAAAGGAATTGAGAAAAACAATCCAATCTCAATAAATATTTTTAAAGGGGGAGATTATTTTTCAAAAACTTCATGGGAAAATTAATGTTATTATTTTGCCATAATAACTAAAGCTTAAACTTTTCATTCTTTGACAAGAAATGTCACAGGGCCTCATAAGCTAATGTTTTATATTATAGATTCAAAACCAAGGAAATAAAGTGTTTGTGTAAAATTATCACTACTTGTTACAGCAAAAGTATGAATTTTGTAAGAGATGCTTATTTGTCTCCATGTAGGTAGCTCATACTATGCTGATTAGAAGACACATTTCTCACAGTAAACACTATATATAATCAAAGAACATTAGAATACCAAGTAATCTTACAAATTATCTAACACACTAATTTAACAACTAAGGAAACAAAATTTAGGACTTCCATAAACTGCTGGAGAGTGGTAAAACACAGATCTTTTGACTTTTGTCTAGGACTCTTTTAGTCATAAAACACTGCCTCCCGTATCACCTGTCCCCAGGGGTGGATACTGTGGTGCAAGACATTAAACCCCTCACGCTGACCCTGTAAAGCAGTCAGAGAGGCTGGGCCCCCTCACTCATCCGCCAGACATTCGCAAACCATTATATATGTGACAGGTAATGTTAAGAGGTCTGGAAACTAAATGATCAATAAATTCTGCCATGAAGTCATTAAAATTTGTCCAGTGGCTTCCCACTGATCCGAAAACAAAATCCCAATTCTTTACCATGACTTCTAAGAACTGACATAATCTAAGCCCCGCTCGCATCCCCTCCTGGTCTATTAGCACTACCGTTGTGCACACCACACTTAAGCCACACTTGTCTCCTACTGCTTGTCAGACTTGGAAAACTGTCTCCTTAATTTTGAGGTAGATTGCTGGGTGGGTACACAGTGGGGATGGACAGATGAACAAACAGAGAGCAGCAACACAGACAAGTAAAGCAACAAAGATAACATGCTGGAAATGGGCAGAAGTACAGATGGTTCTGACAGGTAGCGCTGCAGACTCTTTGTAATGAAGGACATATGAGTTACAGTTAAAGGTGAATGTTAAGATCACAGGCATATTAAATTCTTTAAAACTTTATGAAAAAGAATAACTATTCAATTACAAACCAAAATCTATAATCGTAAAGCCTAACGATGCAAAGAAGACAACTCTGGCCCCAATCTCAGGATGTCTGGCCACTCAGACAAGTCAGTTCAGAGGTGCAGGATGTGTTCCTGAGTGGTAAAGTATAATCACAAATGAATGAATGCAAAACAAATAAAATCCTCCTCCTAAGAAACTTGGTTCAGTGAACAAAAGCTCCTCCATCTGTTAACTGGAAAACGGAAGGCTTTCTACGATTTACTCTATAAAACATGAATGCCATAGAAGTATGCTCAGAAATCACAATATTTATGAAATGATACAAAGACAACAGTAGTGGCTAGGAGCATTAATTGCAAGCTCTCTGACAATTCAGATATGATAAAAGCCATTCTAATCTAGTGTAGCAAAGATGTACACACATTTGATACGTTTTTTCCTTTCCTAGGGAAAAAGGTGGACCTTCTCAGCCAGAACGAATACTAGCCAACATGATCCACACTTAGAAACTAGCCACAGTTTCTTGTTCCTTAAGGAATCATAATTTGGATTAAATTGTGATATTAATTAATTTGACTAATCCATTAAAGAACCAGTTGACTATGAAATTATACAGCAAACAGAAATTGTATACATAATACAAGATTTAGAAAATTGTAATAAATGTATTTCAGAAGTGAACTACTCCTAACCTAATATAAATCAAGTATCACATCACAAACCTTGAAAAAATCATTTGCAATTGATTTTTTATGAAGCCTCGGTTATGACTTACAACTCATTTTTCAGAACAGCCTTCTTGGCTACCACCTTACACTCTAATTTAAAACGAGAATGTGCACCCAAGCTCACTTCCTTCTTTTGCCCCCTTCTGTTGAATAAGATTTGACAGATATTTGATATTATAAGAAAGTGAAGAAATGAAATCATGTTTAATGTGTAGCTATTATTACAAAACTCTACCAGATACTCTAAATTACAGAGCTCAAAATATTAAATTACAAACTATGAGAAAACTTGCTCAGAAATAATGCTACTATATTTAATAATAAAAATTTATATTATATAGTCTTCATTCTAAAAATAATTCCAGATTTTGTTCCAAATTTAACTTACAAATGTGAAAATTATCTTAGTTTGATACAGCTAGTTGTCAATTTGACATGTGTCACAGTTCTTTTTTAGGTATAAATACTATTCCCTCCCCTCAAAAGTTATGCATATTTCCTATACCTGTTTAATTCAAGGGTATAAATTTTAAAAATTACTTTTAAAATTTCTGTTAAATTATTTTAGAAGAAAAATAAAGCCAGCAATGCGCGCGCGCGTGCGCGTGCGTGCGTGCGTGTGTGTGTGTGTGTGTGTGTGTGTGTGTGTGTAGCATGCATCCATGCATACAGATAAACACAGAATGTTTTTAGGACCAGAAAGTCCTGACTCAGCGTTCCTATTCTCTGCCGCGGTAGGCGCCTGTCCATGCTCCCGTGACAATGTGTCCCTGGAGTGGAGCAGGAGATGCCTCTATGACCCAACCACTGCCATGCGGCTGCTACCCTTTCAGTGCATGCGCTCTGATGTCTCTTAAGGAGCACCCTCTCCATAATCAGAGTTGCACATTCCTTTCTTGATAGACTGCTCTAACTTTTGTTCAAGATGCCCTAATGTTTTTGACAACCTGTACAAGCCGAACATTCCAGCAAGAATTCCAAATGAATGCTAAGGGCACTTTGCATCGTTTTGTTCTGTATTGTTCACTCTTGCTGATTGTGTCCTAAATAATAAACTGTGGCCTCTGGCGATTTTTCTCAGAATGTTTATGATGAGAACTCATTCATCTAAATCTGCTGGCCAGTGGAATAAAATAAATCAAGAATTTCCCAAATATAACAATATTTGTGTTCAGTAGATAATTGATGACTGCAGCTGCACTAATTAAAACCCATCTGAGTTTCATTAATCTTGGTCACCAGGACCAATTGCCATGCTCCACACCTCACGCACAGCCTCGCGCCCTTGTGCCTGGGTCACATTCAGGTGGCCATACTCCCAAGTTTCTGATAATGTAAAATACTTCAAATGAACATATATAAGTATAATACATAAATGTGTAACCACTCATGACATTTCTCTAATTTTCAGAATCATGAAAATCACATAAATGTTTTATATCAGGGAATACTGCCATGATTATACATGTTCTCTGCTTGTTAAAAAAGAAAGAAATGTGTCAGTAACTTGTGGCTCACATAAGTATGCACAGGAATAGCGAGAACTCGCGGCAATAATGAAGTGTCTCATAGATCATACTTGCATGGAGCATAAACACTTCCCAAGAACAACTGTACAATTTATACTTAAGAAAAGACGTTTGAATAATCAGTCCTATTACGATATCACTGCTAGGAACTGAGTTTATAAAAATACTTTTAAACATTTTCTACACGTTAATTTATCTTCAAAATGTGTATCAAGGAGAACCATAGTTTTCCATGCAAACCAAAGAACACCGTAAGTAACAGCAGACAGGCAAAAAGAATCCTTATCAGGGGAATTATTTTTATGGACCTCCAGATATACAGTTTGAATTCTAATCACTCATTCATTTAAGAAATCTTTATTGAGAGCCTAATGCAGTTTCAGACACTCTCTAATCCAGGTGCTGATGATAATAGCAATGGACAAGAAAACACCCAGTTTGTGCTCTCGAGAGTTCTTTATTAGTGGTTGGAAAAACTGAATAAACATAATACGGAACACGAAGGTCAGTGCTATGAAGAAAAATCAAGCAAGTAAGGGGCTGCTACATGGGTGTGGAGTACCATTTGAAACTGAACAGTGAGAGGAAACTTTTCTAATAGAATAGTATTTGAGCAGAAACTGAAAGGAACTGAAAGCATCAGCCTTTATTTGTTATAAACCAAAGAAAAGAGTATAAGTAATCAAGTTTTAGGGTTGGTCAAATCTATACATTTAAGAAATAAAAATATTCGTTGAATTCATAGATTAGACCCACTGGCATGGGAGTGCATCTGCCATAAGGTAGGGTACGGAAACAGGCGTACTGGCAAGTGAAAGGAGGAAAAGAGGGAAAGGAGTAGAATGCGTGGATAGAACAGACAGAGAAGTATGAATTAAGATGACACCCTGGACATCAATTAAGAGCTATATACTAAAGCTGAAGAAGTGACCCATCTCAAGTTTTTTAGGAGAAACAAATCAAAGGAAAGAAGAGGAAAATTGGGCAACAAAGAAATCTATCCATTAACCATGGAATCAAGTTTTTAAAAAATATCTTGAGTTTTCACTAAAAGATTTAAAACAGTGTTTCACTAAAACATTTAAAACAAGATAGACTTGTACCTTTTAGTAAAATAAAAGTGCAAAAATGGTAAATATTTGTAGTGTTCAGTGTTTTTAAAATTTCACTGGAAAACCCTTTAACTTCCAACAAAAGAGACACAATCAAAGAAACAATGTACCATTCACCTATTCCACAGCTTCAGGTATAATTTCATGAATGGGGCTATTTTTCCCTCTAATTTTAACATATGGCCTCATAGTCAAAAGGCTTTCTTCTGAAAGGATTAGCCTCCTTATGAAAATAAGTTATACTTATTCATTAATAAAAGGTTCAAAGACCAGTAAAAACAAAATGTTTTGTTAGCTTATCTTACATGCACTAAATGGAAATCAAACTCTACACAGCCAACTTTTCAATATTCCACAGTACATAAACAGGAGATTTCAATCTTATTATCTTTTCTTGAAGCTGGCACTCATTTCCTCCAGAAGCATGCTACCCATGGTGGTAAGTCTCAGGGAATCTCCTTCGTCTCTTTCTCAGGACATCGCTGGAAGGATGACTGTCTAAGCAGGTGCACAGGTGTAGGCAGGAATGCACTAAAGACTGAAGAGCACGGAGGTGCAGCGGACAGGGCACCGCTACTGTTTTGCTTTGCTCATGGCTGTGAACCCAGGGTCTCAAGGCACAGAGTCTGACAACTCCCCGTCCCCCACCCCTGACCACACACTTTCTCATCTAAAGAAGATACTCTGTGGAACTGTACAGATGTGGTCTCATTTACACCTCAAAATGCCTCTATAAGGTAAACATTACAACTACCTTTTAAGAGATGAAAAAGCTGTGCTTAGAAAAGCAAAGAAACGGCGGGGTGCAGTAGCTCACGACTGTAATCCCAGCACTCTGGGAGGCACAGGCGGGCGGATCACGAGGTCAGGAGTTCGAGACCAGCTTGCCCAATATAGCGAAACCCCGTATCTACTAAAAATACAAAAAATTATCTGGGTGTTGTGGCAGGCGCCTGTAATCCCAGCTACTTGGGAGGCTGAGGCAGGAGAATTGCTTGAAACCGGGAGGCGGAGGTTGCAGTGAGCCGAGATTGCGCCACTGCACTCCAGCCTGAGTGACAAGAGAAAAACCCCGTCTCAACAACAACAGCAACAAAAAATAAAAAATAAAAAAAAAAAAAAGAAACAAAAGTAGCCCAAAGTCACCACAAGAAGTGGCATTGAAGGAATCCAAATTCATGTGACTTCAAATCCATGGTTTGCCACTTCAGTACAACGCAGAATTTTCAAGCTAGAATTGACTGTGAAACAGACTTTGATGACAATCTAATATTCACGCATACATCACAAAAACAAAGGCTCAGGATGGTTTAGAAACTTGTCCCAGGGACACAGCTTATGAATAGCCTCTATGAAAGTAGCCTAAATTCTAGCCAGAGATCTTCTCACCTTTATACTGTGGAAACGGGGCAACACTTTGGGTACATGAAAGTATGTCAACCTCAGGAGCTGAAGCGAGAAAAAGATGCTGCTGGCCTTACGGCTCAACTCTTGCCCATGTGTCTCCAATGATCAGTGTTATAACTTGAGGAATAAAAAGTTTTGCCTACTGAGGTATTTATATAAAAATATAAAATATTTTATCAAATTTACATTCTGTTTCTTTGTTATATTTTATTTTCTAGCTTCTACAAAACAATGAAACCAAAGATGAGATGTTCATTGAAACCAAGGATTAGACAGCTGAATTACAGCAGCCATCATCTTGCCCACATGCCCATGTAGACATAAAGCATCCGTCACAACCCAGTGTAAGCACTGGCCTTACTTCCTGTACCTTCTTTTCATTCTTTTTTACGGTTTTATTGTTTCAATTCCTTCAAGAAACTCCAAAACTTTCCAGTCAAGTATCACCCAAAAATGACTCTGCTGACCTTATTTCAAATCATTGATAAACTTCCTTAATATCTGAAACAGAAATGTGGCGCAACAAGCAACTGCTCAGTTCTTCTCAACGTTTCTCAATTCATATCATTATTAAGCTGTAGTTTATGGTCCTCAGACATGTTTCAATGAAATATATAATAAGTCTGGAAAACAATGTATGTCTGTGAAAAATCCTATATGAGTTCAGGTTTGTCACGCTATAAAATATATGGATTTCAAGGTAATAATTTCTAGAAATAAACAAATTTGTAATTAGAAAAAAAGGCATCACTTCTAAATTTAAGTTTATAAAAAGTCCAGCTGAAAAAACTAGTCAGTATACACACACGACAATAGCCTTACATGAGAGGAAAAAAAGGTGTATCTTGGATGAAAGGTTCCCAACGTGAGAGAAGGATGAAAACACTGTGCTGGGTAGCGTGTTTTTTTTTTTTTGTATTTTACCTCATTTTATACATATCATAGAATAAACATGATTATTTTTAAATGACAAAAAATTCTTTAAAGGAAGAGATATCAGATTGGGAAGATACTTCAGATAACTGGAAACAAACATGGTCACACACTGCAATATGCTGACAGCAGACATACACACTACACATGTTGTCGACTTTCTCCTTCATTAACCATATGACAAAGCTGCTTTAAAAATACAAGAGAAGGCTATAGTAGGAGGTGCTTCCACCTGTATTTCTGCTGGCAGTTTCTTCCTCATGTTTGCCAAAAGAGAAAAAAAGAAATTAAAAAATAGAAAGTTAAAAAGATGAGAACCAGTAAGATTTTGACTCTTGATGAGAATCATGAAAACCTAGACCCTTATAACTTTAAAGCAAAGAGCTTTTGAACTGAAATTAATAATTCAACGATAACAGTTTTGAAGTGGGAAGAGGTCTTAGAGGAAAGATAGAAAGCCAAGTATTTTTCAGCTAAGGCCTAGGGAGAAAAACATGGAGTGGTTGATATGAGAGAAGTGAGATGCATTTAGAGTTAATATTGTAATAGGACTTTCTGTTAAACACTGTCCCATATAAACACCCTTCAAAGCTGTGTTCCTTAATGTTTATGCTTGTGGATTGTAGGGGGAAACACTGTTTTTCATTATTTTGCTTATTTATTCTTACTAAAGCATGTAAAAAATTAATCTTAAATGTAATTCAAACTCTATTGCACAAGAAAATAAATTGGTTACCGAGTCTATAAAGGCATCTCTCAGTAGAACATCCTAAGAGAATCATTTTGAGCAAATAGCAAAAGTGCAAACAGAAAAACTTCATGTAAACCACTTTTTTTTTTTGAGACTAAGTCTTGCTCTGTCGCCCAGGCCGGAGTGCAGTGGCAGAATCTTGGCTCACTGCAACCTCCGCCTCCTGGGTTCAAGTGATTCTCCTGCCTCAGCCTCCCGAGTAGCTGGGATTACAGGTGTGCACCACCACACCCAGCTAATTTTTCTACTTTTTTAGTCAAGGCAGTGTTTCACCATGTTGGCCAGGCTGGTCTCGAACTCCTGACCTCGTGTTCCGCCAGCCTCGGCCTCCCAAAGTGCTGGGGTTACAGGCGTGAGCCAAGGTGCCTGGCTGTAAACCACTTTTTAAGATAAAATTATTTTTATATTCTCTAAAGGTGTTCAATATTTAAAGGAAGACTTCGATGCCTTAAAAGGCAGTGGCTCACACCTGTAATCCCAGCACTTTGGGAGGCCAAGGCAGGCGGATCACCTGAGGTCAGGGGTTCAAGACCAGCCTGGACAACATGGTGAAACCCCATCTCTACTAATACAAAAATTAGCTGGGCGTGGTGGCATGCACCTGTAATCCCAGCTACTCAGGAGGCCGAGGCAGGAGAACTGCTTGAATCCGGGAGGCAGAGGGTGCAGTGAGCCGAGATAGCACCAATGCACTCCAGCCTGGGTGACAGAGCAGATTCCGTCTCCAAAAAAAAAAAAGACGTTTTAACATCCCAGTTCAGACATTGTTAGAAAAGGTTTATTAATACAATGCTTTTCCAACACTGTATATGAACTGATGCTACTTTAAGCTGTTTGTTAGGATGTATTTTATATAAAATGATTGAATATCAATAATTTCTAATTCTGTGACCATATTCTTAATGCTATTCTAAGATTTATAAGATTGTAATAGACCATTTTGAATGTTCACATTTCCTCCTGATTCACTAGCATCTCTCAAAAATAATTTCTAGTGAGGCATGAAGTTAATTAGATACTTTCCTAAAAACCCTAAGTTGCATACAAAAGAGCCAAGTTGATATAGATTTACTCAAATTTCAAGGAATTATTTTACTTAGATTTTAAGTAGCTATATTTACCAGTTCCTCTGCCTGTCTAGGGCCTCATTTCAAAGTGTGAGGGATTTTTTTTTCCTATATTAACAACTAACTTACATAATCAGTTGGTAGCCCAACCATTTTAAAACTAATTTCATTAATTCATCTCAATCTTCAATTATGAATGGATTTACTTATTCTCTGCTATTATGTATCTCCCCAACATTTTTGTAAAAGCACTCTTCATTCAAGATAACACCTTCTGGAAGAATTAGCTCATGCTGTACAGTTAAACTCAATCTTTTCCTTGCAAAACTTCATTGTATATTTTAGTACTTTCTTCAAATAGATCAGCATTCACTTAAGCTTTTAGTTATAGTGTAATTTCCTTCTGATGATGAAATGACTTACAAATACAATCAAATTATGAACTTTGTAGAATTTTCTCATTTTTTGAATGCCAACAAAATAAACAACTAAGAAATAAAGGAAATTAAATGGGAATAAAAAGTATTCTTCATTTCTAATGGCTTGCGATATCAATAATCCTTACTATAATGAAAAAGGTTAAATAATTCTTTTATGTTTAGATGAAAATCATGTTTCATAATGCATTTCCAAACTGAAAAGTTGTAGAAGCTAATTCTCGCTATCTCTCCATTACTGGTTTTCAGCAAAAGACATCTCTTAGTAGATTATCTGGTAAATCACCAAACACCGCTGGTTGATTCCAAACACATTTAAAGCAAACATAAACTCAAGGAGGAGAACTTTAGCATCACCAACATATCACAGTGCTTTCTTTTCAATTATTATAAATTTTAATTTACGATGAAGAAATTTAAGGTTGACTAAAATTAAGTAACAATTCTTGCATTCTCTCTGGGATCTCTTTTGCCCTTCTGGTTGCCTTCAAGCCGGGCACCCTGAAGGCAGCAGAGCATCCTGCTCTCTTTATGTGGGTCACAGATGGCCTGAGCCACACGCTTTACTCCGGAATCATCAATCAGGATCACCTGGCTCTTCTTCCTTCTGGTATTTCACTTTCAGAACTTGCTTTTCAATCATTAGTTGGATGCCTATGTGCCCTTAGTCTCTTCTTAGGCTGATTTCTCTTCAGCTTATTTAGGGCAGACGCATCAAGGATGAGTTTAACATTGAAGAGTCCTTTATTGGTGGCCTTTCAAAACCCTATCATGGCACTCCCTCTGGGCCCCATCAGATTCCCTAGGACAGGACCTTAAAAAGCATTTTATCTTGTTTTCTCATGGTGTTTCCCCGTTTTGATGACTCTAAATATATAATTCTGCATGGGTAATTTTTACAAATTTATATTTTAAATAATTTAAAAATTTTGAAAAACATCAGATTGTGTTTTCAATATTTCTTATAAAAGATAACTACCATTTATATGTGTATATAAATATGTATCTTTTTGAGGTATATTTTGAATACAAGTATTAATTTAACTTACTATTTAAAAAGCCATTATTAGATCAATAATACAGATGCATATTAAATATATCATTCAAACTACTTTAGTCATTCATCATAAATACTTGTGTTAAGGGCATGAACACAGGCACGCAAAGGAGAACAAAATGCAATTTGTGCCTTAGAGAAGAATCTGAAGTCCTGAGGGAAGCTGGATTTCCAAGTGGGCAGAAATGCTATGACACAGGCAAGCGCCTTGTGCTCAAGGGTGCTCCAGCTCACAGAGGGGTTCACCGTCCAACTGCGGAAACTCAGGGGAGGATTCTGAGAAGCTCACGCCATGGGGGAGGAGAAGCAAGCCATGGGGGAAGGAAAAGCACGGCTCAGCCAAGGAGGGAAAAAGACTCAGGATGGTGTCAGCAAGCATGTAGAGGAGCAGGGCAGTAGAGTCAAGGTTGGAGGGGTGGACATAGGCCGGCTGACAATGTTTCGTGGCAGTGCTTGAGACTTGAGAGTATTTACAGCCTAATTGTTTTACATCAATTTTTCCTGAAATTCAACACTTTCATCTATATTTTTAACACCTTAGAAACATTTTTCCAGAATATAGTTCATGCTTCATGTTTAAACTAAGTTGCATATTTAATAAAGTTGGAATTTTTTCCAGTCATTTACTAAGACAACTATATAAATATGATTTTATATAAAATCATACATTTACTATATGAGGTTATGATAAATAAACACAAGTGGAACATGGCTTATCCCTTCAAGGGGCTGCTGTTATGCTGTAAGGTAAGATCTGTGTACTCTTGATAAATTCAATACATATTTCTTGCATAGTTCTAGCATAAACCAAGATAGCAGAAAAAGGAAAAAAAATTAAAGCAAGATTTTGGGATTCTCCAAGCATAATCTCATTCCCTCCAGTATGAGTATAAGTTTACAGACACTGAGAATAAATCATAGTATTAAATAAGATCAGATTTGCTAGTCCCATGCATAGGAAGCATATAGGTAAGAGAATTCTTTCATTGTGCTGTTATCTTCTGTAATACACTTTTAATCATCATTTTTAAACAAATGAAAAAGTAAAGATGAAGTGTGGATAAGGTACACTTTTGTTCATTTTATTCTAAGAGAAGATATATATATGTCTCCACTGGAATCAAATTTGTGTTAAGGTAAAAACTATGCAATTTTTCATTTTTAACTCTGTAATCTTAATATGACTGAATAAATATAAACGATCTAGAAATATAGAAAGTTTAGAACTTACATATGTTTTATTTATATAAATATTTGGTTTATTTTAACAGGGTTAGTTTCCAAAGAAGATGAAGCAGGAAGCACTCAAAAAGTAGTAATTAAGAGAAAATACTACAAAAAATAGAAATATAAAACACATATGCCCAATATACTCATTCGTCAAAGTATTTTTGGTTAAGCATTACTATGTCTCATGCAGGAAGCTCAACTCCTTAAGTGGATAGATGTGAGAAACATACTTATATCTATAGAGCCCATGAAAAGTTAGTATTAAATAACACAGAAGGGCCAGGCACGGTGGCTCATGCCTGTAATTCCAGCACTTTGGAGGCCAAGACGGGCAGGTCATCTGAGGTCAGGAGTTCGAGAGAAGCCTGGCCAACATGCAGAAACCCTGTCTCTACTAAAAATACAAAAATTAGCTGGGCGTGTTGGTTCATGCCCCAGCTACTTGGGAGACTGAGGCATGAGAATCACTTGAACCCAGGAGGCAGAAGTTGCAATGAGCCGAGATTCCAACACTGCACTCCATCCTGGGCAACAGAGCGATATTCTGTCTCAAAAAATAATAAATAAATAAATAGCATAGCCGAAAAGGGAACAATATAGTATATAAAATAAGCAAACATTTGTCTAAATGACACACTCAACAGGTCAAAGAAAATGAAAAGGAATCTCACACACACACACACACACACACATCACTAGGGAAAAACTTCCAGGGTCAAAAAGGCGTCACTGTTTTTCAAAAACAAACTAATGACCTAACAAGGAACAATACGAGGATAGAAGGAAACGCAGCTGAAAGCATCAATATGAACAATATTGTTACTCCATTAAGTGTCATAAATCATTATTAAAAAGATTTAAACACAGTAGTAGGAATTTAAAAATTTTTGAAATACTTTGTTTTATATAAGCAAATTATAAAATAATTTACTTCAAATATGAGAAGTGCACTTAACAATGTTATAATGGAGTTTCAAAGAGGCTGTAAATTTATGGGCCAACACAAAGAAAGTGAAATTGGCTACTGAGTTAAATCAAAGATCCTTTTATTAGGCACCTGTCGTTTCTACCACATTTGCTAAGTGGTGCGGGCAATTTAGCCATGAATAAGGTAAGCTAGGATCTGAAAGAGCCTACAGCCTAGTATCCAACAGAATAAAAAAATCTTAGGCAACCTTTCCAAAAAATATTAATGCATAAATGTCTGACCAAAATAACACAAAGACCAAAGAAATCTAAATCATGTAAGACTAAGCTATCTTAATCTAATCTTAAGAATAAGGACTATGAATCTCACCTCAGGAACATAATATTAAACTGTAATCCAAAATGTAAATTTTCACGAAAAAGAAAGTTCACAATTTTAGGACTGCAACGTTAGTAATAAGGTACAAACGTAGGAGATAACATGAAGGATTCATAGTTCCTAATGACGCTGACATTTTTACAAAGCAAGCTGGATACTTGAGTCTAGGGATAACCTAGAAGACTGACTATACCTCTTTTTCATGAGTTTCATCACGGAATTTCCTAAAATCTATGCACATGGCTCAAATTCATCAGTGTTGCTCTAAAACAAAACACACAAACAAATCCCTTTCTCTCTTAGTACCTGGCATAGAAGCCTTGAAATGATTCTACAATTAACATCATTAGCAACAACCTTTCAATTCATTTATTCACTAAGGGCCTTTTACGTAGCAGTCACTGTGGTGGGCACCTGGGTGAACACAGGTGATAAATAGCAAACAAAAGTTCATAAATCACACACTCACATAGCATGTTTAAAAATAACAAGTGCTGCTGGAAACAACAGAGCAGGGTGAGGAGGTTTGGGAGTACCGCCAACTTTAAATTCAACAGTAAGGACGGGCCTCACTGAGAAGGGAAGCGGTGAGCAAAGGGATGAAGGGTAATGATCAGCCGTGAGGGTGACCTGGTGGTAAACAGTTAGCAGCCCCCCTGAGGCTGGGGGTGGAGTGAGGAACTAATATGCAGGGCTTGCTCATTCCTATGGTGAAAAGCCTCCACCGTGGCCCATTTCAGCCTACGAAAAGAATGGCAACCAGTTCACAAAATTCCTTAAAGTTTAACAATTGGCCCACCTTATAAGAGCTGGTTTCAGCTCATTACTACATGAGAAAATCTGGCAAAGCAATAATCCAGATAGTAAAGGGCACTGAAGAGGGGGCACGCCTTGCGAAGAGCCCAGCACACCGGAGCAGTGCAGGAGAGAGACAGCAGGTGAAAGGTGGGCCTGAGAGGTGACAACAGAGACCTCATCACTGGGTTTTCTCTAAGAGAACTGAGGCACCAGGGAGGAGCTCTGCGCAAATGAGTCATGTGTTCTCACTTTCAGCATCAATGTGTTTACCAAACTGAGAAGAGATCCCATGAGGGAAGACGGAGTTAGTTGGGAGGACTAATTAGGAGACCACTGGCATAATTCAAACAGATGATTGTAGTGATGAGAAGCTATAAAATTCAGAATCTATTTTGAACATGATAGATAGGATGTGAGCTATGAGAGGCAGAAGTCCAGGATGACTACAAAGGCTATGGCCTATGTAAACAGGAAGATGGTGATCTCATCAGCTGGGACAGGAAAGTCTACAGCCGGGTGTGGTGGGGCATGCCTGTAGTGCCAGCAACTCGGGGAGCTGAGGTGGGAGGAGTGCCTGAGCCCAGAAGTTCAAGGCCAGCATGGGCAACAAGCAAGATCTATCTCAATGTTCAAAAAATAAAATAAAATCTGTAAGAGAGGCAAGCACTTGTGGATTGGGGTGGGAGGGATGGTGAGGTGGTGAAGAATAAACGAGTTTTTCCACTTGGACAAATTAAATTTGAGATGCCTATTAGACATCAACATGGAGAGACTAAATCAGCAGATGGAAATATGACCTGGAGGATTGGGAGAAAGGTCTGGCTCGAGATCACCAACTTGAGAGTTCTTGGCCCACAGAGACCACTGACAGCCACAGCACTGGGTAAGACCCCTAAGAAAATGAGGCAAACCTGGGACAGGCCAAAGACTAAGTCCTGCATCTTCCAGCATGAATGGTGTGTGCAGAAGAGGATGAACCAACAAAAGAGACTAGAGAAGGAGTTACTAGTAAGGTACGGGAAAGACCAAGAAAGTGTGGTTTCCCGAAAGCCATGTGTATATTGAAGAGGACAGAATCTTTCCAAAGTCTTCATGTTTCCAACTTCCAACTGTACAGTTCTAAAGTAAGAGTATTGGTCTAGAATCTCAGATCTCTGCCTAATCTAATATGCCAGGGCTGATGATGTTCAAGGGGACATTAAATTTCCCCACAAAACTCAATTTGAAAAAGAAGAAATTCTTCACTTGCTTCCTTAGGTCCTCTTCCGTGCTTTATAGAGTCTAACGGTGTTTTCTGTTTTTTGACTCTTCCTGGTATCCATAAGTAAATATCACTATGACTGATGTCATTCCCTATTCCCTCTTCTATTCCTTATTACTAATTCCCATAATCTCTTGGTAAAATCTTCATAAATGTGCTCTTTCAATACATACACACATAGTTTTTAGATACCTACAGTATGGGTACCTGAAAGTGTGGGTATCCACACTGCTTAGCAACTGGCAATGCATTTTCAATGGATTCTTGTCAGTTACATTTAGTAACCTGGAGAGGCTATAGTCCCAAGTTATTCAATCAAACACAAATCCAGGTGTTTCTCTAAAGGTATTTGTAGATGTGCTAACAGCTGAAATCAGTTGCCTTGAAGAGAGGGACATTCTCATCTTCTGTAATCTGAACAGCCTCCTCCAATCAGATGAAAGGCCTAAGAGCACAGCTAAGGTTTCCATAAGGAAGAAAAAATTCTGCATGTAAACTGCAACATCAGTTCTGTCCAAGAATTTCCAACCTGCTCATCAGATTTCAGACTTGCCTAGCTACCCAAAAATCGCATAACACAATTCCTTGTAATTAATCTCCAGTGTGTGTGTATGTACCTTCTACTGGTTCTATTTCTCTGGAGGAAATCTGACAGATACTCTATGTTCCTCTAATAGTAAGTAATTTAATAATTTTGAATGTACAATGGCAATTGTTTTCCCTACTAATAGAGATGTGCACCAATGAAATTATTTCTTAAATACAATATTAAAGTCCAAACTACAACTCTCAACTACACTTATCAGCATGATACATGAAAGTATAAATACAATAGATAAACAAGAAATTGTCCGTTTTAGGGTGTTTCTTCAAGCATTTAATACAGCTGTATTTAGAGATATATGTATTTTTTTTTCTCAACTCCAACTTTGCAGACAGTCTACTCAATAATAGTGAAATTAATGGCACAGGAAACAGAAGTATATAAATTATAAACCATTTAAAAATAGATAACTCCTAGATAATCAATAGTGAAAAAAAGAT